>NC_000008.11:34708587-35011617 GCF_000001405.40 Homo sapiens | reverse complement strand
AATTAGCAGCTATTAGCTCACTAAACATTCCATATAAAATATTTACCAATTCTCATATTGATCATTATGTTGTTTATTCTAAGATGGATATTCTACACAAGGAAAATAAGCTCCACATATAGTTATGTTGCTGTTGACCCCAATTAATGATACTACTTATCACCATGGGTAAAAACCAGCTACAAAAATACAAGGTTATGACTGTGTTAAAATACAAACTTTAAATAAATGGAATTTAACAGGGTGTAATTGAGCAAAGAATGATTCACAAGTTGAACCAACAGAGGTTCAGAGAGCTCTGCTCTACAATGTGGACAAGCAATATTTATGGACAGAAAACAAAAGTGAGATACAGGAGCAGCTGGATGGGCTACAGCTTGGTGTTTGCCTCATTTGAACATGGTCTGATCAATTGGTGCCTGTGATTAACTAAAACACGGCTATTGTAATTGGCTGACTCAGATATTTATTACAAAAGTGTACTCTTACATTAGGCTTTCACTTATTTTAAATACTAAGTTAGGTTGTAGTTTGTTACATAAGGACTCGAAGTATGTAGGAATCCTAAGGCCAAATTTATTTTAACAGCTGTTTTTTGACCTTTCCACTTATTTTGACTCTGTGGACATGGATTAGTTGCCAGGTAAACTGTTGGAGCCAAGATAATCCCTAGTTACTGAGTTATTATTGTTCACAGAAAGCCATGATAATACAAAAGAAGTTATTTTGGACAATTTCAATTTTTAGCATTTCAAAATGGAGATTATTGTGCATTGCAGGTAACCCATAAATATATATACCTACTATTTACCCACAGAAATTAAAAATAAAATTTTAAAAAATGAAGATCTGTTCTACACTTTTATTCTTTAACTTATTCCTTAATACCTTGAAATCATTCTTGTATAAAATGCATATGTGCCATTTGCCATAGAGAGCTGAAAGATGAAGACTTCTCTCTTTTTTTTTTTTTTTGTTTTGAGATGGAGTCTCACTCTGTCACCCAGGTTGGAGTGCAATGGTGCTATCTTGGCTCCCTGCAACCTCTGCCTACCATGTTCAAGTAATTCTCCTGTCTCAGCCTCCTGAGTAGCTGGGATTACAGGTGCATGCTACCATGCCCAGCTAATTTTTGTATTTTTAGTAGAGACGAGGTCTCACCATGTTGGTCAGGCTGGTCTCGAACTCCTGACCTCGTGATCCACCTGCCTCAGCCTCCCAAAGTGCTGGGATTACAGGCATGAGCTGCTACGCCTGGCCAATGACTTCTCTTTTATACATATTACATAGATTTTTGTAAGGAACAAGGATTGACCTTAATAGACAATAGGCTCCTTCGTCAACTAACAACATGAGTGGCTGCAAAACAACTATTGCAGAGCCAATTTAATGACTGTATACAATGCCTGATATTTAAGTGACTGAAAATCAATAATCATATTTAGTGAGTTAATTTATTTAGTAAGTTAGGTTTTATATGGGGTTTTCAACCAATGTATCTTGAGGAATAATAAAGTTATATGGCCCAAGGTAGAAAGCTATGCAGAGGCTACTTATAGAATTTGGGGAGACCTGCTTTATAAAACAGAATTAAAAATCAGTTTTAAATGCGAATGTTTATATAGATGAGAAAAAATAACAAATTACAACTCAAAAAGCCAACACATACCATACTTCACAAGTTTCTAGAATCCTTCCTAGAATCTCAGAAGGAGCCCAGAAATCAGGGATGCTGAAACTTAAACCTCATTAGCTTCACAGTAAATCTACTTCTGAGTTCTTGGGAGCATTACCGACAAAGATAATGGTATATAGAGTTTAGGTTTGTCTGCTTTAAATATTTTCATATCTAAATAATAGTACTTATAAGATTTGAAGGCAATGTACAATTTGTTGATACTTGACTGTAGCAAATGAAAGCTGTTTTGTCAAAAGAATCTTGGCCTTTTTGCCAGGTGTATTTAGGCAATCTCAGAGAGAGAGTGGGCTTAAGTGCATAGATGTGTCTTTTCCAGATTCTCAACTTTCGTGAGAGGATATGAGCCCAAAGCTTACCTCAGCTAGCAGGTAAGAGATAAGGCTCCATACTTAACTACTCTCCAGATACTTGTCAGGATGTCCACGGCCTTAAATTCACTGCCCTTAAAGCTTATCCAAAGCTTGGTTGGTGAAAACAGTGTTTATTGTTTACTTTCTAGAGGAGATGCATTCAATTCACTCCTCAGAAAACAAGTAAGTCATTTTTAGTGCAGGGAGTGGGTTCCCAGAAGGCAATGCTAATTGACTTGGTGCTATCTGGGGATCACTATTTATTAGTATGTAGGGTCAGGCACATTAGTAAGACTCTCAGACTCTCTTTTCAAATTTCAGCGGTTTCAGCCAGAGGTTTTTTTTTTCCAGATATTATTATTATTATTTCTATTAGACTCTACATACTTCCCCCAGAGCCTAAAGTCCATTAAGTTCCATTTTCTGCATGCTGGGACCAGAGTAACCTTCATAATTTGCAAAACAATTACACTTTCATCTTTAGAATACTTCACATATCCGCTTTATATATGCTTAAATTTCCTAACTTGTGTTTTGAAGTCTACTTTAACACCTAAGTGCTCTTGAATCCTGCTAAATCATGAACCTCCCAGACCTTGCCCTACACTTTCACTCAGAGCTTATCTCACTATTCCATTTAAGCTGAAATGTTTTCATTTCCTGTATCTGTGCAGTTGTCTCTGAAAGCATAACTAACTTCCACCTTCTTCATGAGTGTCTTTAATCATCCAAAGCAGAGTTAATCTATTTCTTTCCTGTTTCTTTATTGTCCCTCTCTGTGCATGTATGTATTTACTATGTACTCATTACAATGTCTTTGTACTTGTGTCTGTTTTTCTCTCCTCCATAATACTGTGTTTGTATGGGTGGTTTTTTATACCCCCATAACACTCAGCAGACTTTCTCATATTGAGTCAGGACATGAGTATCAGATGAAAACTATTTCCAAGTGATTTTGGATGAAAAGAGCTCTCCTCTCTCAAGCTTGACCCTTGAGAGTCTTGGTGAAGTTGTGGCAAAGGTTGAGCATCAATTAGACCAGTGACCCAATTCTGACTCTGTCATTATCCACAAGCTAGGTGACCCTGAGAAAATAAATTAACCTCTCTAAGCCTCAGTTTAGCCATTTGCAAAATGGGTAGCGTATTAACTACAGAAAATCTTACATGAACTAAAGATAGTACAAGTAGAACAAACGGTACATGTTTGATTAATGTGGTTGTTTCACTCTAAAATGTTTGCCCTGTTATGAGGATTGTGAGCTTCTCCAGAGTTGAGAGTGTCATACCTGCATCTGCTTGAGTCCTGAGCCCTGGGGAAATGTGTGGAACATTCTTGCCCTCATTCTGTAAGTCTGAGTCAAGACTTACCTCTTCAATACTGATCCCTTCAAAGGAGCTTAAACTTGTCTCCAGATATCAGAAAGACAATGTTATGCTGACAGGCTATGCATTGAATCCTATCAGGCAAATTGAAGAAAATTTAGCAAAGGTAGGGTTCAGAAGCTCGGAAGCATTTTATTCTGCCACCACAAGGAGCCTTAGCTTCTTGGATTCCTTAGCTTCATGAAAAGGGGCTGGGTATTGTTAGCTAGTGTTGTTCTCTTTCCTGACTTTTAAAAATTTTATTCCCTGACAGCTAATGTTTTACCAATGTCTTGTGGCTGAGGACTGGCTGAGGAGTGCATGATTAGGAAGTGAGGGTTGCAGTGTTGCTTCTCACTCCCTGTAAAGGCCGGTGACTACATTCTCTTTCGCAAAGACAAATTTCATTTATGTATGTAGAAATAAATAAGTGAGCCAAACCCCTGGGGGATGATTTGCCTGCTGAAAAGGAGTGCTACAAAACAATACTCTGTGTGTGTGTGTGTGTGTGTGTGTGTGTGTGTGTGTGTGTGTGGTTGCATACAGATTTAAGATATCTTAAAGTGCCTCATAATGATGAATTTGTTATTGCCAGCCCAGGAACCGTGCATGAGAATACAGCAAACTGTGTTTGGTCCCACCTCTTCCTCAGTCAGAGAGATGAAACAATTTTTATTTCTTATTTTTATTTCGTATCTTTACAAAATTGAGAGACTGTGTAAGACCCTAAAATATATCATATGATCTTTTCCTGGTTCTTTTTTTTATTTAATACTAGTAATCTGCTCTTGCTATCTCACCTAGGGAATCATTGCTGTGAAATGATTTATCTGGAAATGGTAAGCTTCTGGTGCATATATCAGCAAGTGTCACTCCTGTAAACCAGCTGTGATTCTCTGAGGAACATTTCTCATCTAACTCTAGACATCCTATGGTCTAGTAATCTGGCCATTTATACCCTTAATATCCAGCTATACCATCACTCACTCTCTCTGATCTCTCACCCTTTCTCCTCTCACACACATGCACACGCACACACACACACATACACACACACATACACAGTCATTCTTCCTTCCTTCTATGCTATGGTTCCCTGCCATTTCTACCTTTACATGTAATAAAGAAAATTATAAAGGAAAATGAAAAGAAACTCAATGCACCATGTCATGTCAGGTATTTCCTTAAACTAAAACAATTGTTTCATGCTTAAGAACAAATATCCTTCTATGTGCTATGTTTGGGTCTAAAGTGTATTTATTTCATATAATAATCTCAGTGCTTAAAATGGCTGTATGTTTGAGCAGGAGTAGCTCTTCTGAATATATAACTTCATTATTTTGATGCTTAACTATGGCCATCATGAAAGAGTCTCTTAGACTATTAGAGTCTATTGGTACATTGGAGATGTCCCTATAAAAATGTTTAGCTGATTCAACAAATAATTAATACTTATGAAGGCTAGATAGACATTCTCCAGATCCCATCCTCCCATCCCTTAGTAAATCTAAATGTCAAGAATCCACACCCTTTTCTACGTAAATGCAATGACCTCCCCCTTCAGGCTGCTGAGACAGTTCCCCAGGGGGTGACGGAGTCATTGGCTCACATCAGGTTTGTGAGGATAACCAGGTGAACCCAAAGAAAGGACAAAGACTTTTCTTTATTTCTAGCCCTAGATATAAAATAACACCTTTATGTCGCTTAGCTAATCCCAGCACTGTCTCAACAAAAAGATATGTTTTTGTCACTTCCACACACAGATAAGACTTGTATCAAGGTTGTTGGGGAAAGCATTGCAATTTTTCAATTTAAACAACTGCTCATATCAGTGAAGTCTTGGTTAAATAAATTCCCAGTGAAACACAAGATAAGGCAAATCTATTGGAGTATTAAATGGAAAATTTGTTGCTATATTATGTGTACCAGTGGGGAAAAAAAAGAAGAAGAGAACATCTGGGTATGATCTGATAATTATTGATTAACTAGTGCAATTAATAAATTCTCCAGACAATTACCTTGACACAAATATTTGCTCAAGCCCAGAATTATTCTGTTGATGGTAGGTGACAAAGAGATCTCAGATATAATCTTTTCCTCCTTTACCCCGGCTGGCCTGTGCATGACAGTGGTCATGGGGACTTGCTGACACTCAGGGTGTTGCATTTGCTTGTGTTTGGTTGTAGAGATTGGATTTAAAAAATAGGAAAAGACAAAGAAGTGGAAACAAACTCTCGGTAGGGGGAGTGATTTGTTTCCCCTCCCCAGCTACAGCTTAAATTAAAGCAGTATTCCCCTTAAATAATTCTCTGATCACATTTAAGGGATAAGATGTAGTGGTTTAATAAGAAATGAACACAATGTTAAAAAATTTTAAAACCAACTGATTTAGGAATCAGGAAAATTAAACTTGTGTACTAATATTGACCTAATTTCTTCTGTACCCTTGATCAAGTCATACAAGATGAAAGGGTTATGATGAGGGAGGATTGCAGGATTTCTAAAATTGCTTTTGGCTGGAAAGTTGCGTGTCTAAAGAATAGATCTGTCTTTGCCTTCATCCCAAGATATCTAACGGTGTTTAATTAATAAAGTATGAAATGAACCTCTCCGTGAGGCAGTTTCACTCATAACACTATCACAACATGCTGAGGGCACCATTCTCTAGACAATATTGAGAAGCCATTTCTTGAGGCTCAGAGAAACACCTAGTGGAAGACATAGATGCTTTCATGCTGTTTCAATCCAAAAATAAAGAAAACTCACTGATTTCCAAACAAACACTTTGATATTAATCTAAAAAAGTCCAATTAAAAGAACCCCAGACTCCCTGTTGGACGCAGAGACAAAATGTGATGATGCCATAGGGCAGGTGGGTTGGGAACTGAAGTCTTTCCTGGGAAGCCTCTCTTCCCACACTTCTCCTTTGACTGGTAGCTAAGCTGACTTCAACCCAGTCATTTTGTCTTCCCAGGAATCACTCCAGTTTCATTATCTTTTTCTTGAAGTAATTTAACCAGAATTATACACACTAGTCCAAGTGTGACCTAACTAGCATTTTGTATAAACACTTTTGCCTGTTTTATGCCCCATACTCTTGGCTGGTCTAAAAAACTGTGTTAGTCTCTTGGCCACAGAATTGTATTCTATCAGTCATTAGGCAACAGCCCAAAATGAGGCCAAGGTTCATTTTCTTTATTGAATAGATAATCAGTTTCAGCTATAAAATGGATATCCAGGAATAATATTTGCTAATGTAAATATTATTCACATTGTGAATAATATTTGCTAATGTGGCATAAGGCAGTGTTTCTCAAACTGACAAGAGTTACCTATTAGTTGGTCCTGCCACACAATAAAATCAAAAAAAGAATGGAAAGAAAGAAGCAAAGACAAAAGAGAAAGAGAACAAAAAAAGGAAAAGGAATAGAAAAGAAAATTGAAAGTATCTCACTATATGGTAAAGTATTGTTTTGTGAACTATTTGTCAGAGTTATATATGTGTAAGTACAGAAAATATATTGTTTATTTATAGGGTTAGAATGTAAAGTGTGTTTCCTACTCTGGGTTGTATTCAAAAAAGTTTGATTGCTACTGTAAAAGAGATAAGAAATACAACTAAAGCAAGAAAGAATGTTAATTTTAGAAGTTAGCAGGGTTTTTATTCTTTAGATGTCAGACATGTGCAGGTAGAAAAACAAATGGTAAAAAAAAATAGCTATACCCAGCCTGAAAAAAAAAAAAAGAAAAGAAAAAAGAAAACCATTGCATCATCACAGTGAGAGCATCGTGGGGTGGACCATACCAGTGTCTTGTCCTTTCTGTTCTGGACACGTGGCGCTGTGCAGCCAGCAGGGTGAAACTGCTGATGGCCTCTGAGGATGGCAGAGTGAATGCATTCAATTTCACACTTGTAAAATCAAGCACAGAAGAAGGCAGCCCAGAGATGTTATCTAGTATCAGAAATTACAGTTAAATATTTCTACTGGGTGTTTCTTTCCCTTTATATTTCTCCAGACCTTCTTTTTTTTCTCTCTAAGAAATAATTGAATTAAAAGCAAGCAAACAAACAAAAAAACCACAAACTCCGAAATGATAGTGATACCTTGGCTGTGCACTTGCATGTCTTTTGAAAATGAGTTGGCTGTAAAGGACATAAAGTTCACTGATCATTTCCTATGAAGCAGTCAGCAATAGTGGAGGAAGAGGCTGATCTCAACAATAGCTTTCCCTGGCTCTTTTGTCAGCAATGAATGACAGTTTGCTTTAGCCACAGTGATGAGGAGAACATTTTCTCCTTCCCATCTTTACAGAGGCAACTGAGACTTCAGGCATTCATAACTTTTAAATTACTTATCCTAAAGGGATTTTGATTTTGCTGGGGAGAAGGGAGATGAGGGTTTCTGGAAAGATAGTCCCTGAGAGGATGAAGTTGAACCTTTAACCTTCCCTGAAGTAGACAGATAGATCCTGTTTGAACCTTGGAGAGAATCTCAGAAGTGAAAATGAGGAATATTTCTGTTTTGGTGTGTGACTTTAAATGAATAATTTAATCCCAATTAACTTTTTCTGTAACACCTGATAGAACAGGAATTCTGATAAAATAATTTCACTTTAATAAACATTACCTTAGAGTTATTTACAGGAAGGGCACTGAGCAAAGTACTAGGGGTATAAAGAAGAATACTACGCTGAGTGCAGTAGCTCATGCCTGTAATCCCAGCACTTTGAGAGGCCGATGTGGTGGATCACTTGAGGCCAGGAGTTCGAGACCAGCCTGGCCAACGTGGTGAAACCCCGTCTGTACTAAAAATACAAAAATTAGCTGGGCGTGGTTGCAGGATTCCTATAATCCCAGTTACTCGGGAGGCAGGGGCAGGAGAATCGCTTGAACCAGGGAGGCAGAGGTTACAGTGAGCAGAGATCGTGCCACTGCACTCCAGTCTGGGCGACAGAGTGAGACTTTGTCTCAAAAAATGAATAAAGAAATAAGTAAATAAATAAGAATACTAGCCTGAGTACCTTGTGAACTCAACATGAAAACAACAAACCTTAACATAGGCGTTGTAGGGAACATTGCATGCGTCAAGGAGAATGGCTGGGACTAAGACATACAGAACTAGACTTCCATGACCTAGACAACACCAAGGGTTTTCCTTGTCCACTGCATTACCCACTGCACGATAGCAATGCCCACATATCATTGTTGCTTCCACAGATGAACGCTTTTTATTCTCACAGTCACCAAACCCATCTAGGCCATCACTCCCTCTTTTGTGCATTCCAGCAACAGCATCCAATTGTTCTTCCTTGTCCTTTGAACAGATCACATAATTTGGCTGCAGCGCTTTCGTGTAAGTGTTTCTTCTTTTCTGAACTCTCTTATCTTGACTAACTTCTACTGATCCTTTAGGGCTCAGCTTAAATATCTTTTTCTTGGCCAGACATTCTTTGACCTGAGAGCTAACTAGATCTTATGGTCTACGTGTTCTCAGAGCACCTGTACTTCACACCCACGTCACATCACACACTGTACTTGAATTGTAATTTCTAGTTTAATGTCTTTCTTCCCTACCACATTACAAATCATGTTCAATACTATATCCCCCTAAATTAGCAAAGTGCCCAGCACATACTAAGCACTAAATATATATCTACCCGTGTTTGAAGCAGTCTCAGCAAGTGGAAGTGGGTGGGGAAAGGATGGTTAATTTGGGTGTTTTGGACAGAGAGGAGAACACAACAAATACTTAACTCAGGAATGTAATAGTCTAACATACTGTCATTGAGAGGGCACTGGGGTTGCAAGACCTGAGTCCTACTTCAGATCCACAGCTTATCAACTGTTAAATATGAGAATGAACTTTCCATTGACTCTGCATACTCCTATTGCTCCTAAGATTACACCCACTCTCCTATGTGCTGCATAAAGAGGGAAAAGTATGCCACCATGACACATGTATATCTATGTAACAAACCTGCACATTCCACTCATGTATCCCAGAATTTAAAGTAAAATTTTTTTAAAAAGAAGGAAAAGTATAAAGGAGAAGGCAACAAACAAACAAAAAGACTTAACCACCCATAATTCTCAATTTCCTCATTTTGATATGACGGAACCACAGGAAAGCATATCTAGGTTCATCCAGCAATCCCATTCTATAATTCCATGACTAGAAATTATTCTCTGGTCTTCTTCATTACATTTTGTTAATACCCCTTTCTGAGAAAACTTAGGTCCCTTATAGAAAAGGCCTAGTTCACACAGGAAACTTTGGAAGACGTTTTCAGTGTTTTCTTAGATTCCCTCATGACCTCATTTTTTGTCTGTTTGTTTTTGTTTTTTGAGACAGGGTCTCACTCTGTTGCCCCAGCTAGGGTACAGTGGTGCAATCATAGCTCACTACAGCCTTCACCTCCCAGGCTCAAGTGATCCTCCTGCCTCAGCCTCCTGAGTAGCTGGGACTATTTGTGTACCATGCCTGACTATTTTATTTTTTGTAGCAACAGAGTCATGCTGTGTTGCCCAGGCTGGTCTGGAACTCTTGGGCACAAGCAATCCCCTCACCTTGGCCTCCCAAAGCACTGGGATTACAGGTGTGAGCCACTGTGCCTGGCCTACTTCATTTTTAAACACCAAAGTCTGCCAATTTTAGAGAGCGCAGACCTGGGATCCAGGGGAAATGCCCAGAACTCACATTTCAGCATGTATTAAGTTCAAAAATGGATGTTTTATGTTGCTACCGTGAAAGAAAGTTTTTGAATTTTTAGGAATGCAGAGTTCAGAGCAATGGATTTCTGAGACACTTCTTCCTTCCTACCTCTTAATAACTTAGTAGAGATAGAGGTTCTTTAAGAGTTATATTTTCAGAGAGTAGACTCATGCCAGGATTCCTCAAAGCAGAATCTGGTATCTGCATTTTTTGGGTTAACTCAGATACACTAAAAATAGATTTTTACCTACACGAAGACGCCTTATTTGAAACATTTCTACTATAAATCATTTTTTAGAAAGTGAGGTGAAATTAGATGGCAAGGTGTTGTAAATTGGGATTGAATGGTTGAGTCAGGAGCTCTAGGCAGTACCATATCAATGGGAAGTAAGGGGGACTTGGGAGGCCCAGTCTGTCCCTTGGGAAGAAGTATTTTATCATGGAAATTGCCACTGCCTGGTGCTAATAAAAAGCAGACTGACGTTTAATTGGTTTTATAATTGTTTTTAATTTCTCTTTAGACAATGCTCTACTTCCTTGCTGTCTGCACCTGGGGCAGGGAACCATTTTCCTATCTCCTCTGTTCTTAGATCATTGGCTTGGGTTCTTGTTTTTGCCATGCGGTAACCAGCTAAATAACCTGGAGCATGACAATGCTGATCTGAGTCTGTGTTTGCACTCACAAATTCAGAAACTTGCAGGGTTAGTACTCTGGTTTGGAAAGTTAAGTAAAGTTAAGCTGGAAACTTTGACATCATCTGAATTTCCGTAACAAGGACAACTCTTTTCTCTAAACCTATTATTATTCTCTTTCACCTCTGACATCCATACATTATAACATTTTAGTGTTAAACATTTATTGAAAATGTTAAATAAGAAAAAAACCCACACTGTTTTCTTTCTAATCACCTACTGATTCTTCAAATTCCCAGGCTTTTGAAAAAGGGTTAAAAAGGGGACTATTTTCAAATCAGATTATTCTGCTAAGCAAGAAAATTTTTTTCTTGGCTCGAAGTAAACTGTGAACTCTCGAAGCTTCCAATAGTCATGCCATGTTTAAGAGGTGAAAAATATCTTAACAAAATTGGATTAAATGAAGTAATGTGTGGATAAATGTGTATGTAATATTTTAATAAGGAGAATAGACTCTGTTTTCCTTCATTATGTCTCCCATTCACGTTGCCCTGAATTTAAAGTACAGAGGAAGTTGTTAAATTACATTTAATAATAGAGCAGGGCGTTTAATGTATATTAATTAACTATCAGCAGATGGTAAAGGGAGTCCTTGCTGAGTATGAATGAGAGAGAGAGAGTTCTAACTGCCATGTAATTAAGCTGAAACTGCAGAAACAATGGAGGTGCGATTACTTTTTTATTAACACATTATACTTACATGTGATGTGGAAGAATTTAATTACTTTGTGACTTCTATTATGTTCATTCAAGTTGCTCTCATGTCGAGTGGGTCTCTGTTCCCAGTAAACACTCTAGAGCAGCCTGAGTCACTTTATTTCTGAGCATTTTGATCGTCATGTTATGCAAGTTGAGAGATGGTCGCGGTGTACCTCTGTGTCTGGATGTGCCTCAGTGCCCCAAGACGGCCAGTGTATCATTTCTGTTTCCTGCTAAATATTTGGAATGGGTAACTCTCAAACTTCAGAGAAGAGTAGAAGTAAGGCGACGGGGGCACCGGGGGGTCGCAGGTGGTGGTGGTGGAGTTAGTTTTTTTCTTCACTGTGGCACATCTTGGACATATCACATTTGACAATCAGGCCTTAGTCAGGTTAGGGAAGTTAGGAAAGGAGAAAACTAATCATTCTCTGCCTTGACGTTGGTAAGCAAGTTAGTCACCTTGAGTCGCGACAAGCCCATTCTCTGTATTTGCCTTTCAACATTACCAATTTGTGTAAACGCAGATTTATTTGTTCAACTACAGTTGTTACTTGCTGGTCATTGAGATATATTTTCACATTTCATAATGATAAGATAATTTAGCTTTTTCTTTTCTGGTGGTGCTGACCTATCTTTCACCAATGTTTACATGAAACTCTCAGCGAGTTGAAGATCCTAATTAAACTAAAGAATAAATGATCATCGTGATATTACTATGAGCAGAGCCCTTGATTAATGCAGTATTCTATTTTTTGTCTTTAATCCATTTTTATTTGTCTTTTTTTCTTTTTTTTAAATTAATATACTTTATGTTCTGGGGTACATGTGCAGCACGTGCAGTTTTGTTACATAGGTATACATGTGCCATGGTGGTTTGCTGCACCCATCAACTCAACACCTACATTAGGTATTTCTCCTAATGTTGTCCCTCCCCTAGCCCCCACCCTCTGACAGGCCCCAGTGTGTGATGTTCCCTTCCCTATGTCCATGTGTTCTCATTGTTCAACTCCCTCTTATGAGTGAGAACATGAGGTGTTTGGTTTTCTTTTCTTGGATAGTTTGCTGAGAATGATGGTTTCCAGCTTCATCCATGTCCCTGCAAAGGACATGAACTCATCCTTTTTTATGACTGCATAGTATTCCATTGTGTATATGTAATGCAATATTCTATTATTAACCTAGACCTTCCCTAATCTGGTTATAGGGATAGAAAAATACATCTCTGGGAGACAATGTATGAATAGCCAACTGTTTGGTGGGTCTCAGTATGATGAATTAACATGAGAAGGAATTTACAAGGCAATGCCAATTTTGGTGATTACTTGTTTCCAGAGAGAAAGGCAGGTAGTTCTTCACCAGCCCCAGTTTTCTATCTGGGAAAGTAAAAGTATTAGTAAACAGATAAATGACCCATAAAGATAAGGGTTAACTAATCACCACTTAAAAACCAACCTCACCACTTTTCCTCTTTGTTATGGCAGGATCTGATATGTAACTAGTGTTCTGTCCTCTCTCCCTCTTCTCAAAATTGGGCCCTGAAATTCTCACACCAAGTGTCACTCACTGTGACCCCCTCAATTCAAATGTGCTCAAAGTCAGGAATGGTTTTAGGAAGCCCTAGTGAGAAATTGAGGTGACTCAGTTGAGCATCAAACAGATGTTAACTCTTATCTACTCTTTCTTTTTTACTGATCCCAAAAGGCCAGGTCTTCTCAAAAGGACTTCAGACAAAATCCTCATGTTATCCTCTGATTCCTGTAATTGGGTCTCCATATTCTGGGTTCCAGAATTGCTAACCTGCCCAGTACTCATGTATCTGTAGAATTCAGATAGTGGAAGGAATGCAGAACAGATTCCATACTCATAAGTGTTGGAGCCGAGTTCATATTCAAAGTTTTAACTTTTGGACCTGACCTGTTATTTTATTTTTGATTTTAGAGGTAGGGTCTCCCTCTGTTGCTCAGGCTGGAGTACAGTAGTTAGATCATAGCTCGTTGCAATCTGTAACACCCAGGCTGAAGCTATTCTTCCATTTTAGCTTCCTGGCTAATTTTAAAATTTTTTTGTAGAGATGGAGTCTCACTATGTTGTCCAGGCTGATATCAAAGTCCTGGTCTCAAATGATCCTCCTGCCTTGGCCTCCCAATGCATTGGGTTTACAGGTGTGAGCCACTGTGCCTGGCTTTGGGCTGTGAGTTTAAGTATTATGATGACCTTTTTTTTTGTTTTTGGCCAGATTTTTCTGTTTTTGGCCATGTCTTTTAGGCTTAGAACTTTATAACTTTCGTTTATCCCCCTCTTTGAAATTCTGTCTAGGAACATATACTCTCAAATTATAGCCATCAAGCTTCAGGGACCAAAACAAATTCAAAAGCAAACACATATGATTTTTTTTAATGCCATAGTAAAAAAAAATCATGCACCTTATAGACATTGCTAAACCACTGACTATATTTGTAGCCTCAGTCAAATTACTTAACCTCTCTCTTTCTCTGTTTCTTTCTGTTAAAACAAGAACAATAATTCCTGCTAAATGACACGCTATAAGGATTGAAGAAACTAATGCTTGAGCTCTTTGCATAGTAAAAGGCAGGGACTACAGTACTAGCTACTAGTTTTAAAACTTAGCACAATCACTCATTAGTTGTGTGACCTTGGGAAAGTTATTTTGTGTCTTAGTTTTCTCATTTGTAAGGGGTGATAATAATGGTGTCTTCCTTACAGTGCTGTTGTGAGGGTTAAAATATGTATGTATATGTATATAATATGTAAAGCACTTATTATACTTGCACATAGAAAGTACCACATGTGCGTTTGCTGTTATTATTACAGCACACAGTGCCTGGCACATAGTTACCACTGGAGTAATTATGTGGAAGAACCAGGGCAATGCCTACTGTGTGGTTAGATGTTCAATAACATACATAGCACCTTGGCTTTCTTAGCATCAATAGGTGAACCCCAGTGATAACTGGGATTAGTTGACGGTAGGGGTCCCAAATGATTATGAAACTATTACAAACCCCACAAAGTCTCAGGAATAAAATTACAAAAAGCATCTTTTAGGATAAAAAGGGCTCCTATATCTGGGATTTCTGTTCTTAAATGATGTGATTTGAGGTAAACTTTTTTTTTTCTCATTATTTTCTTCTTCCCAGAAGAAGATTCACAGATATATTCTAGCTACCCACTTTTATGTTATCCCAAGTAATTTTCAATTCAGAGCTTGTTTTAAATTATTAGAGCCTAGAGTTAAAAATCATTTGCTCCTGGGTCAAATATAAATCCATCAGATTTAAGCAACCTTTTGCTGTAAGTACAGGAGAGCTGGATCCCTGGCAGCCATTAACCACATCCTAGGTCAAGTGTGGTAGGTAGCTAGAGGACTGATATTGGTCCTGAACACATTCAAACACATTCCAATATCTTCCTCATTTGACACGGAAGGAAGAACGTGGCCACAGTTGTGTGTATTATCATTGGTCTATGAATAGCCACTTTTTTTTTTTACTATCAAAAAAGCCATTTAACAACCTACAGAATTGGAGAAAATATTTTCAAACTATGCATCTGAAAAAGGTCTAATATCCAGAATCTACAAGGAACTTAAACAAATCAACAGGCCAAAACCAAATAACCCCATAAAGAAATGGGCAGAGGACATGAACAGTTACTTATCAAAAGAAGGCATATGAGCAGCCAACAAATATACGAAAAAAATGCTCACCATCACAATCATCAGAGAAATGCAAATCAAAGCCACAATGAGATACCATCTCACACCAAAAAACAGATGCTGGTGAGGCTGTGGAGAAAAGGGAACATTTATCTACTGTTGATGGCAATGTATAAATTAGTACAGCCACTGTGGAAAGCAGTTTGGAGATATCTCAAAGAACTTAAAACAGAGCTACGATTTGACCCAGGAACCACAATACTGGATATATACCCAAAGGAAAATAGGTCATTATATGGAAAATGTATAACGTAAATTTACATGCATTTATATGTTCATGGCCATGCTATTCATAATAGCAAAGACATGGAATCAACCTACATGGCCATCAATGCTGGATTGGCTAAAGGAAATGTGTTACATATACACCATGGAATACTATGCATCCAGAAAAATGAATGAAATCATGTCCTTTGCAGTAACATGGACAGAGCTGGAGGCCATCGTCCTAAGCAAATTAATGCAAGAACAGAAAACCAAATACCACATGTTTTCGCTTGCAAGTGGAAGCTAAAAACTGAGCACACGTGGACATAAACGTAGGAAAAATAGACACTGAAGACTACTTGAAGGGAATGAGGGATGGGGGCATGGAGGGAAAAACTACCTATTGGGTACTATGCTCACTACTTGGGTGCAAGATACCCATATAATAAACCTGCACAGATACCCCCGTATCTAAAATAAAAGTTGAAAAAAAATTCTAAAAAGTCATTAAAAATATTGGTGGCCTCCTGAAGGAAAACAATATTTTAAAAATCTCAAATTTGCAAGCTGCTTCAAAATTTACCTATTCAAATCCCCTTATTAGCTTTTTCCAGATAAGAAAATTGATTCTCAGAAGCCTGATGTGCTTGCCACTTGTCATACCATTTAGTTTATATTTCCACATCCTAACTCTCATGCTCTTTCCAGGGTTCTTGCCTGACCCCACTGTATTCGACTGTATTGAGCTGGCTAAATCATGCCTGGGAAGCAGTAGTGGACACGGCCTCTAGTGAATCCATCCCCCAATCCTCATGGGAGCACTGCTTACCTCCCATTACTTGCCAGCTTTAATGAACAAATGGAGCCCATGTGTAAAGAGGCACCAGACCCTGACAAGCTCATTGGGTTTACAACAGCTGTGTGTGTTGCCAGAACTCCCCGGAATAAGAGTTAGGGTTGCTCTCTGCTTCTGGTAATAAAGCCCAAGTGTCTCATTAGATCCCTAGACCACTTCTCCTTTGAATCTATTGCTTCCTCCTTGGCTTTTGCAGTGCGATTTGCAACTGGAGCTGCTTTCCCCAAAAGTAGGATTTGAAACCAAGATTAGTATATCTAAATGTGTCCATTATACTTCTAAGTGGAACCTTTTTCTAAAAATAAACTTAAGAAATCAGCCCTCAACTATTAAATTATAAGACATTATTAATAATTCATTTTTATTAATACAGATAATTCCTCTGGGTTATTTAAAATGCATATGGCAGAGCAGGAGGGGTCTGCCCAACACAAATTTATTTCCTCAAGTCAGTCTTAATATTTTTCTAAGAAACTAGATAGATGTAGGCAACCTAACACATCGCAGAGGGAAAAGAAAAACACAATGTTTCAGAAGAAAAAAAAATAGACAAATCCTAACAATAAATAAATCCACCATGGCCTTCATAAATTGAAAGAGTACAGAAAAACTTCACATCCAGAAATAAGACAGAACATTATATGTCTGATAGCAAAGAAACATCTGATTTTTCTAAACTCCTAGAGGATTATCTGGGCAGCAAAATGTCCTGTCCTGCTCTGTAATTAAGGAACATGCTCTAACCTTAACAACAGTGGACCCAAGCTCAATTTCTAGTAAAGGCCCTGCAATTTCAAGCATAGTGTGCTCCTAAGCTGCCAATAAATCCCAAGCTATGTAGTCCAAAAAAATAAATTCCTAAAGTGGTATAGGATAAAACATATTTCTGACCCTGCAGAAGACACAGGATGTGGGTCAGATTACAGCATGTGGAGGTGAACCACACTGATTCAGGTTTGTGTTGGACAAGACTGGACTAGCCTCAGCTTTTTCTCCCATTGCTGAAGATCAGAAAATGTCCCTATAGCTCTGGATGCCTCTATTCTATGCAAGTGAGTAAGAATACAAATTCCTCCATCTCCCTAGCAAGGTTATGCCCAAAGCAGTGCAGGTGATGGGCTTCCATCCCTTTGAAACATCATGCATTTCTCTATGCTTTAATTTTAGATTAATTCTGTTATTCACCTTAGGAAATGGAGTAAAGCTTTCTCATAAGGAAGAGTATGACCTTCATATTGGGACCCTTAAGAGATAATAAATAATTCAAGCTTGATTTTCAGGAAAACCGAGGTCTAAATGTTGGGCTTACCCTTAACTCCTTTCTTTTTTCCACACCCCATACCATGTTTTCTGTAGTTTCTACAATCAAAATACTTCAAGAAAACCACCACTGAAACACTTAATTGCTTCCTTTCTCATCCAAGAATCCATTATCCATTGCCTGTTTTTTTTTTACTTGATTTTCTTGCTTTCACCCACATGCCCTTCTAGCCTATTCTCAGCACAGAGAGATCCTTCTAAACTACGAACCAGGCATCCAATTCATCTGCTCAAAGCCCTCCAATAGCTTCACAGATAGGACATTGGCTTTTAGGACCTGGCTAGATCAAAGATTCCAGCTGTGAAGCTCAGTTTTCATATGGCTTTCCACCAACTCAAGTAACTTCTGGGAACTGACTAGATTGTGATCCTTGAATAAAGGGATTTCTCTTTCTCATTGTTTTCCTTCCAGCATCTAATATAAGTCTTACCTATATTAGGCATTTAATAAATGTTAATACATTGAACTTTTGCCAGGACAGGGTTTGTGAAACCAATTCTGATTAGTTTGAAAAAAATCCACCCACTTTAAATTCATAATTAAATATTAGAACCTATTAAAATTACTCCAGCAGCATACTTGCAACCAATTAACAAACTACATTTTTTTTACCATTAACTTGTCTGATACAAAAGTTAGATTAGCCATAAAGATGTAGTCTTTTACAAATTCACTGTCACAAATCATGTATGAAGTAGACGCAGAGGAGACTATGAATCTTGTAGTAAAAGTGAAAGAGATTAAGATTAGTACAAACAGAATATTTGAACTTTTAAATACAGGCATACCTCAGAGATATCAGTGGTCATTTATAGACAACCACAATATCACAATAAAGCAAGTCACACTAAATGTTTGGTTTCCCAGTGCATATAAAAGTTTTGTTTATACTATAATGTAGTCAATTAGTATGCAATAGCATTATATGTAAAAAAAGTACAGACGTTAATTTAAAAATATCTTATTGCTAAAAAGTGCTAACAAAAATCCAAGCCTTCAGTGAGTCATAATCTTTTTGCTGGTGAAGGTCTTGTCTCAATGTTGATGGCTACTGACTGATGAGGATAGTGGTTGCTGAAATCAATTAATTAAAATTTGGGGTGCGATATGGTTTGGCTGTGTCCCCACCCAAATACCATCTTGAATTGTAGCTCCCATAATTCCCATGTGTTGTGGGAGAGACCCAGTGGGAGATAACTGAATCATTGGGGTGGTTTTCCCCATACTGTTCTCCTGGTAGTGAATAAGTCTCATGAGATCTGATGGTTTAATAAGAGGCTTCTGCTTTCGCTTGGCAAAATTATTCTTTCCTGACTGCCACCATGTAAGACATGTCTTTTGCCTTCCACCATGTTGTGAGGCCTCCCCAGCCATGTGGAACTGTTGAGTCCATTAAGCCTCTGTTTCTGTATAAATTACTCAGTCTTGGGTATGTCTTTATCGGCAGCATGAAAACAGACTAATTCAGGGTGGCTATGGCAATCTCTTAAAATAAGACAACAATGAAGTTTGATGTGTTAATTCACCCTTTCTTTTATGAAAGATTTCTCTGTAGCCTGTGATGTTGTTTGACAGCATTTTACCCATAGAACTTCTTTCAAAATTAGAGTCAATCCTCTCAAACACTACCACTGCTTTATCAACTAAATTGATGTAACACTCTAAATCCTTTGTTGTCATTTCAACAATGTTTACAACATCTTCACCAGAAGTAGATTCCACCTCAAACCACTTTCTTTGCTCTTTCATAAGAAACAATTACACCTTTGTGAATTTTTTCATGAGATTACAGAAATTTGATCACATCTTCAGGCTCCACTTTTAATTCTAGTTCTCTTGCTAGTTCCACCACATCTGCAGTTGCTTCCCCCACTGAAGTCTTGAATTAGTCAAATTCATCCATGAGTCTTGGAATCAATTTCTTTCAAACTCTGTTAATGTTGATATTTTGACCTCCTCCCATGAATCATGAATGCTCTTAATGGCATCTAGAATGGTGAATCCTTTCCAGAAGATTTTTCAAAGACTTTGCCAAATTACATCAGAGGACTCACTATTTATGGCAGCTATAGCCTTACAAAACATATTTCTCAAATAATAAGACTTGAAAGTTGCTCCTTGATCCATATGCTGCGTCTATTTGTACATCTCCAGCAGAGCTCTTGGATGACCAGGTGCATTGTTAATGTGCAATAATATTTTGAAAAGAATCTTTTTTTCTGAGCAGTAAATCTCAACACTGGGCTTGAAATATTTAGTAAACCATGCTGTAAACAGATGTGCTGTCATTCAAGCTTTGTTATTCCATTTATAGAGCACAGACAGGGTAAATTTAGCATAATTCTTGAGGGCCTTAGGATTTCCAGAATGGTAAATTAGCACTGGTTTCATCTTAAGGTCACCGGCTGCATTAACCCTAACAAGATTGTCAGCCTGTCCTTTGAAGCTTTGAAACTAGGCATTAATCTCGTCTCTTTTGCTATGAAAATCTTAGATGGCATCTTCCAAAATAAGGTTCTTTCAACAACATTGAAAATGTTATTTAGTGTAGCCACCTTTATCAGATATCTTTTTATTTATTTTTTATTATACTTTAAGTTCTGGATACATGTGCAGAATGTGTAGGTTTGTTACATAGGTATACACGTGCCATGGTGGTTTGCTGCACCCATCAACCCATCATCTTTATTAGGTATTTCTCCTAATGCTATCCCTCCCCTAGCCCCCAACCCCCCGACAGGCCCCGGTGTGTGATATTCCCCTCCCTGTGTCCGTGTGTTCTCATTGTTCAACTCCCCACTGCCAATATTAGACAGATCAATGAGACAGAAAATTAACAAGGAGATTCAGGACTTGAACTCAGCTCTGGACCAAGCACACCTAACAGACACCTATCAAATATCTTAGTTTGATCTTTCGGATAACTTAATGCAGTTTCTCCATCAGCACTTGCTGCTTCACATTGCACTTTGCATTATGGAAATGGCCTCTTCCCTTAAACCTCGTGAAGCAGGTTTATGAATCCTCTGCTAGCTTCAAACTTTTTTTCCTGCAGCTTTCTTACTTTTCTCAGCCTTCATGGAAATGAAGAGAGTTAGAGCCTTGCTCTGGATTAGGCTTTGGGTTAAGGGAATGTTGTGGCTGGTTTGATCTTCGATTTAGACCACTAAAATTTTCTCCATATCAGCGATTAAGGTGGTTTCTTTTTCTTATGTGTTAAATGGATAGCAATGTTAATTTTCTTCAAAAACTATTTCTTTGCATTCACAATATCACTAATTGTTTGGTACAAGAGGATTATCTTCTGGGCTATCTTGGGTTTTGACATGCCTTCCTCACTAAATTTAATCATTTCTAGCTTTTGATTTTAAGTGAGAGATATGCGGATCTTCCTTTCTCTTGAACACTTAGAGTCATTGTGTAGTTATTAATTGGCCTAATTTCAATATTGCCGTGTTTCAGGGAATGGAGAGGCCTGAAAAGAGGGAGAGAGAGGGAAATGGCCTGTCAGCGGAGCAGTCAGAACGCACACAGCGTTTATTAATTAAGTTAGCCGTCTTATATGGGCATAGTTTGTAGCATCCTAAAACAATGACAATAGTAATATAAAAGATCACATTTCACAGATCACTATGACAGACATAATAATAATAGTAAAATTTAACATATTTCAGGAATTACCAAAATGTGACACAGAGAAATTAACTGAGCACGTGCTGCCGGGAAAAGGATAGCAATAGACTTGCTGGATGGAGGGTTGCCACCAACCTTCAATTTGTAAAACAAAACAAAACCAAACAAAACAAAAAAACAACACACAATAAAGAGAAGTTCAATAAAACAAGGTGTATGTATAATGTACAGTTAATTGCAATTTCAGTGAGGCAGAGTTTAGGACTTTCTTTTAAATTAATAGTGCTATCAGTTTCATCTTTTATTTAATTCTCTGGGAGAAAATTATCTATGAGCAATAAAAGTTACTGAGTGGTCCTCATGATTTTAAGAGATAAACTAGGACGGAAAAAGAATTAGCTATAGTCAATTAGCTAATTACAAAGTCATAGTTACTGTTCTAATATACTTCGTATTACTAGTACTTCCAAGATTTTTTGACCACTTAACCAAATGTCAAGTACTATGTTAAAGGCTTTCCATGTAATGCTCATGTACTCCTTAAGAAAACTTATGATAAAGATATTAACATTATTTCCATTTTTATAGATAAAGAACCTAAGATTTAGAAATATTACTTTTCTCTAGATCACACAATTGATACCTGATTGAGCCTAGGTTCAAACTGATGTACTTTTGGCCCCAAAGTCCATGTAATAAGTTTCCAGCTTAATTAGCTATAGTCAGTTACATGGGTGGGGGGAGTACACTGTTTTCTCATCAAAATACTTGCAAATTAGGTACAAAAGTTTATCTAGAGTCAACTCCTCTTTATATAAGAAAGAAAGTGATCTGAGAAAATACGCAAGTTTCTGCTCATTTGTATAGATACTTGGAAATGGGGGGAAGGATAAACCAGCACCTAATGTGATAGGTTACCTAATAGTAGCGGGTGGGAAAGAATGGAGGAATCATAACCAGGTAGAAGGGAGGAGGAGGGGATAACACTTATTTAAAGAAACCTTTGTGTTTAGCTTTGGTAAAGTTTTACATGCTTGCCAAATAAGTAAATAATTAAAATCAACCAGTATCTTGCAGGAATTCTAAGTTGAATTCAAACTCTAACAAATAACCTTGAACTCACTATGCTTGAGTCACTCAGATAAAATAATCACACTGAAGGAAGTGTGAAAAAAAAAAAAAAACTGACCTAAATGACTTTAGAAATCCATGGCTTTGATTACATCTTGTAAAAACAACAATACAAAGTGCAATACACTGATATGGCATTCTAGGTAACAACTTTGGTTTTTATAAAGGTTTGGCTATTAATTCTCAAATAATCTTTATATATAATATTAAAAATTATATATATAATATATATTAAAAATTATATATATAAAATATATAATAAAATTATATAAAATACATAATTAAAATTATATATAATATGTAATTAAAATTATATATAATTATATAAAGTTATGTATATATAATTTTAATCCTAATAAAGATTAAGAAAATAAGTAAATATATAGTAATGACAGCCAGACACTATGGTCTAAATGTTTGTATCTCCCCCAAATTCATATGTTGAACTTCCAACCCTGAAGGAGAAGGTATTAAGAGATGGGACCTTTTGGGAGGTGATTAGGCCCCTCCCTCATGAATGGAACTAGGATCCTTATATTAATACAAGAGGCCCCAGAGGGCTGCCTTGTCTCTTCTACCATGTAAGGACATAGTGAAAAGCCACTGTCTATGAGAAAGTGGGCCCTCACCGGACACCAAATCTGCCAGCACCTTGACCTTGGATTTTTCAGTCTCTAGAACTGGGAAATATGTTGTTTACAAGCTACCCAGTTTATGATATTTTACTGTAGTTATGGACTAAGACTCAGATTTCTGAGTGTCGGAAAAAGAAGCTACATGTAAGAAAATGGACAAGGCTATATCTATGTGTATGTAACTAAGCTCACATTTCCTTTTCTCTGCCTAAAGAGAGGACCAAAAGCAAGGACATCCCTAGTAGCAATGAACACATTTAGTGCCCAGATCTTGGTTTCTAAATGCCATTCTTCAATAAAAGGAAGTAAGGCTCCTTGGAGAAGTGACTGGTTACAGGACTGAGGCAGGAGAAATACAAGGTGATCCTGGAATATCTTATAGCAACACATAAAGGAAGCATGCTGAATGAACAACGAACACAGGCACCCACTGAAGGAGCTCTTAATTGCCAAGTCTGTCACAAGTTGAGCATCAAAATAAATAATGAATCTAATAAAGTATAACCCAGAGGGTAAAATAAATATCCACAGAACTATACTGATATAAATAAATAAATGGAAAGAAGAAACAGTTCACTTTTACAGAATTGCAATTAGAATTTTAATGTAGAAGGGATAATGGGAGTGGAAAATTATCACTAAGCAAACACTACATTAATAATACTTGTAAACAGATTTGCTGATCAATGCTAAAAGTAGTAGACTTTTACACAAACTTTTTTGTAATCGTAAAGAATCTTCTCACAAGGCCCTTATTTGTTTCACAGGGAAAATAGTAACCTATAAAGTGGAGATACTTACCAGCCATCACCTTAACAAAGTGATTACAGTTAACGTTACCAATACTAAGACATATAACACTATGTGTTCCCTACTGTGATGCACTGAGAGTGGCACCACATCACTTCTGTGGGATTCTTGCCGAAAATGCAAAACTTCCATCTAATCCTGAGAATCAGACAAACTGAAATTGACAAACACTGTACAAAATAGCTGACCAGTATTCTTCAAACGTGTCCAGTACTTGAGACAGAAATAACGTAGGGAACTGTCAGAAAATGGAGAAAAAGGACACCTAATATTTACATATAATATGAGATCTTGCATTGGATACAAGATTGCCAACTGAATATTATTTGCAAAATTCGTGACACTAGAATAAAAAGCCTATAGATTATTCAAGCTATTAATCAATATCAACGTTAATTTTCTGGTTTCCATAATTTTACTATGGTTTTGTTTGATGTTAACATCAGGGGAGGCTGGATAAAGAAAATATGAGAATTCTGGGTCTAATTTTTGCCATTTTTCTGTAAGTCTAGTGTTTTGAAAATAAAGTTTAAAAAAATATAAAAACATTTGAAAATGATTCTGAAAGGGCATAATGAGAAAGTACAATCTGTATGAAATATATTCATCCCCAGAAAGAGAGAAGACAATTTAGAACACACATTCTATTGAGCACTATATTAGTCTCCTTGGGCTACCATAACAGAATACCATAAACTAAGTGGCCTAAACAAGAGAATTATTATTATTTTTGCTGTTGTTGAGGCAGGATTTCACTATGTTGATTGCATTGGTCTCAAACTCCTGATCTCAAATGATTATCCTTTGTTGGTTTTCCAAAGCTCTGGGATTACAGATGTGAGCAACAACGCCTGGCCATAAACGCCAGACTTTTATTTTCTTATAGTTTTGGAGGCTTACGGTCCATGGTCAAGGGGCCAGAAGGAGTGGTTTCTGATGAGACCTCTCTTCCTGGCTTGCAGATGCCCACCTTCTCCCTGTATTCTCACATGGCCTTTCCTCTGCATGCGTGGAGAGACAGAGAGATCTTGTGTCTCTTTCTCTTCTTCTGGCATCAGTACTATCAGATTAGTACCCCAACCATATGACATCATATAACCTTAATTATCTTCCAAAAGTCCCTATCTTCCAACAGGGTTACACGGGGGAGTAGTGTTTAGGGCTTCAACATATGCATTTTTGGAGGACAAAATTCAGCTCGTAACGAGTACCAACTGGATTCATTATCTTCACCTGCAAAATGAGACAGTATGTATAGTGGTCGAGATTTTCTATACAGAAAAGGAGACAGCAAGGAGGAATAAGAGAAAACAGAAAAGGCAGAGGCTAATTGTGTGTAAGATAATATGGCAGAAGAGTGCATGTCCTCTGGATAAAGACCTGTGGAGTAAGCTTGGTGAGACAGTACCCGCAATTTGATTTCCATATAAATCACAGAATTAGTGGCATAAGAGGCTACATGGTGTGTGTGTGTATGTGTGTGCATGTGTGTAAGGCATAAAAACACATTGATTTTTTAATCAGACTACTCAGATTTTCACAATACTTCTGGAAACAAGAAAAAAAATTAGCAGCAAAAGTAGCTGGATTAACTCATACTAGCCAAATCTCAGTTATAGTCAACTTGACATAAAACTCCATGAAACAGACAAGAATGACATTTAAATGCATAGAAGTGACAGAACTACCTTCTCCCTCCCCTCTAAATAATAATGTCAGCCCCATTCTCTAGCCAATTCCACTTCTTAAGTACCTTGTTTGACATTTCTTTGCAATGAATGGAACCCCTACCAGCATCATTAGCTTTGCAGGATTTTCTCCTGGGAATGGGCAAAGCAGCTGCCAATTCTAACAGGCCAGATAGAGGGAATAAATAAAGAAACAAAAAGTGGGACAAAATAAAGTAAATCCCTGTAGTAATTGGAGAAGTTTTACTAGCAAAAGTAAACGGAGAAACAAATATTACGGCTCTTGGATACAATAGTGAAAGTAACCCAGACCCTTGTATGTGCATGATTGCCATCCAAACCAACCAAATCGAGACCACAGTAGGTCGAAGGCAGAAGAAAAGGATATAAATATTGCCAACTTCTGTGGCATATGGATTCTTAGTAAAGGAGATATGCATGTTGATACGTAGAGTTTTAAATGTATGTTTGCTCAGCTCATCCTCACCTGGAAAAGGCTTATTCGGCTGTAAATATTCCAGGGCTTTTGCTCATTATGGTTGCTCTTGTAGCCGCCTTTCAAGCCCTGTTTATGACTGCCCACATCTCCACCAGAAGGCAGGCCAGAGGGAGCTTTCCATGAATCCAGTCTGTAGAATTTATTTACTTATTTATTATTTAGAGGCAGGTTCTCCCTCTGTCGCCCAGGCTGGAGGGCAGTGGCGCAGTCACAACTCACCTCAGCCTTGAATTCCTGGGCTCACCCTCCTGGGTAGCTGGAACTAAGGGCATGCCCCATGATGCCTGGCTATTTTTTTAAAATTATTTTTTGTAGAGATGGGGTCTCACTAGGTGGCCCAGGCTGGTCTTGACACCCTGGCCTCAATCTGTCCTCCAGCCTCGTCCTCCCAAAGTGCTGGGATGACAGACTTGAGCCACTGAGACTGTTGAGACCATAGGATTTATATTTGCTTGTTCCTTCTGGCCAAGAAAAATCAATGGCTGCCTATAATACTTTGGACTGAGGCAAATACCTGAAGTCATTCACAGTTGAAGCCATGGAGCACATAGGACTGGGAGATTCCACCATGCTGTCTCTGAATCATCAGCAAGGGTTTCAGAGCTCCAGAGTATCCCATCAGTGGGAGGATTCATTGACATGGGCTTCCCACAGTAATTGCTGTAAATCTCAGTAGATGTTTGCAATCTGCCTTATGGGCTGTGGTATTCAGTGTGTATCTGGTTTGGACTGGTTTAAGGGTCATTGGGCTAGCAGCTTGTATAGAAAATGGAAACATATAGTTAAGGGAGCCCTAACTTGAAAAAGAAACAACAACCAAAAACTTATCAAATGATGATGGCAATTGCCACAGAACGCTTGATTAATACAGAGATGAAAATTTGGCCAGCACCATTATGATTTCATGCACCTCTCATAATGTGTGCAGCAATGTAATAATAGTATTTCTTTGTGCAGTGAAATCTTGTTAAATTGATATAGTTTTATTCAAAACAGCATGAATTTGAGGTAGCTATTTCTCCCTAATTGACTTAAATGTCTTATTGCTCTTAAATAAAATATCAGATAATATATACTTAAGGTCCTTTTTTTTCCATAGCTCCCTTAATATAGAATTAACAAGGTGTTACTCAATAATTTAGAGTTTTCTGGTAAAGTGCCCATAAAGCTTTCACAAAAATAATGGTGACTATGTCCATACTTCTCATCTGACATGTGGTAAAACTCAAATTCTGGAAGTATGAGTAATCTTTTCAGGCAGCGGAGCCAGTCTTCTGTATTGTGGATTTAACCACTTGAGATAGAGCTGGACCTAGACTTGGCCACTGCCAATTTGGGCCTGAGTGCAGATCATTGCAGAAGGACAGCAGTGCAACCAGAAGTGAACATTGAAAGCGTATGATGTCAAGTACAACTAGTTTGGAAAAACTTATTGCCTCAGAGGGGAACAGCCTGAGATGTCCTGAAAGTGAGAAAGAAAGGCAGCTGCAGAGAACTCAGACTGGAGCTGCAGAGAGGGAGGTAGTGCAGTGGAAAGTTAAACATCTGTGATTCTGGAGTTAGGGCTGCAGTCACTTTTGTTGTCTGCCACTTTCAAACTGTGGGACTTTATCAGGGTGTTTCTGAGTGCTGCTTCCTTTCTTTGTAAGATGGAATGCTAATCTAAAATTTATGCCAGAAAGCTGAAGTGAGTGTAAGAGAAAAACAAATCCAAAGATAGTTGTGAGGGAATGGGTATGTTAATTAACTTGATTTAGTTTTTCTGCAATGTACACATATATCAAAAATTATGTTGCATACCATAAATCTATACAATTTTTATGTCAATTAAAAAAACAAAGAATGGGGACACTAGTACTTTATCTCATAAGATTTTTGTGAAGATTAGGTGAGCAAAATTATGTGAAAGTGCTCTATAAACTCTAAGGCAGGGGTGTCCAATCTTTTGGCTTCCCTGGGCCACGTTGAAAGAATTGTCTTGGGCCACACATAAAATACATTAACACTAGGCTGGGTGTGGTGGCTCAAGCCTCTAATCCCAGCACTTTGGGAGGCCGAGGTGGGCAGATCACGAGGTCAGGAGTTCGAGACCAGCCTGGCCAATATGGTGAAACCCTGTCTCTACTAAAAATACAAAAATTAGCCAGGCATGGTGGTGTGCACCTGTAGTCTTAGCTACTCTGGAGGCTGAGGCAGGAGAATAGCTTGAACCCAGGAGGTGAATGTTGCAGTGAGCTGAGATTGCGCCACTGCATGCCACTCCAGCCTGGGTGACAGAGGGAGACTCTGAAAAAAAAAAAAAAAATTAACACTAACTATAGCTGATGAGCTTAAAAAAAATTGCAAACAGTCTCATAATGTTTTAAGAAAGTTTACAAATTTGTTTTGGTCCACATTTAGAGCCATCCTAGGTCACTTGGGACCTGTGGGGAAGCTTGCTCTAAGGCATTATATGAACGTTACTCATTGTTTTATGCATGCCATATAAAATGGAAAGAAAAAGTACATCTTTTTCAAACTGTGAAAGAAATAAAAGTTGTAGCAATTAAAAAATTATATGTGTTATACTAAATTTGGTCTAAGGATATCTCAGTACCTACATAATGAACTACAACTTAACTTAGTATGTAAACAGACTGAAAATTCTTTATTTTTCTTTTTTCATTTTTTTGGGGAGGTGGGGGGGTGGAGTCTCACTCTGTCACCCAGGCTGGAGTGCAGTGGTACGAGCTCGGCTCTACTGCAACCTCTGCCTCCTGGGCTCAAGTGATTCTTGTGTCTCAGCCTCCCTAGTAGCTGGGATTACAGGTTCCCGCCACCACGCCTGGCTAATTTTTGTATTTTTCGTAGAGATGGGGTTTTACCATGTTGGTCAGGCAGGTCTCAAACTCCTGACCTCAGGTGATCTGCCCTCCTTGGCCTCCCAAAGTGCTGGGATTAGGGGCGTGTGCCACTGTGCCTGGCCCTAAAAATGTATTTTGTAACACATAGCTTGGTGTCAGTCAATCACAGTAACTGAGTTTCAGCCAATCACAGACTGGGAACTGATCAGATCATGTCCAAATAAGGCAATCACTGAATTGTAACCAGTCATGCTTTCTCTGTACCTCACTTCCATTGTTTGTCTATAAAATCACTGCCAGCCCACTTTGTCACCTGGAGTTCTCTGAACCTCTGAAACAGAGTTCTGAGGGCTGCCCAATTTGTGACTCCTTTGCTCAAATAAGCTGTTAAATTTAATTTGTTGAAACTTTTGCTTTTAATATGTATGTTGAAAGAAAATTAAATGTTGTAATTAATCTTACTACCCAAAATGTTAAAAGATGATGTTGAAAAAATTTCCTCTGGGTGTTTCTATGTATGTCTGCATTTCAGATAAGATCATATAGTATATTCTAGACAGTATTAAAACAACTTTTTTTTCCATTTCACTTAGCATTTTCCCATATTCTTGAATATCAAATTTCTAAATGAGGGAAAAGGAAGTATTATTGATTTACTCCCAATAAAATGAATCACTGGCAACTTTTATAAGAAAAATATTTTTAAAATCATTTGTTGGCAAGTACATACTCCTAGCTGCTGGGATTTTTGTTACATCAGCCAAGAACTGTGAATAAAGTGTTGAAAAAATATATTCAAAGCAAAAGCCAATATGGTAATTTAAAAAATGTGTAGGGAGAAATAAAACAAAACTTTTTACTACATAGTAAAGATTATAGAAAAAAAGGATTTGATATGTCTTATCAGTCATTGAGGTTTAGAATATTTGCTTTTTGTAAACAATAAAATAAATATAAAGAAAGTCTTATTAAAAAAGCGCCACGCGCAGTGGCTCACACTTGTAATCCTAGCACTTTGGGAGGCAGAGCGGGCAGATCACTTGAGGTCAGGAGTATGAGACCAGCCTGGCCAACCCCATATCTACTAAAAATACAAAAAAATTAGCTGGGCATGGTGGTGGGTGCCTGTAATCCCAGCTACTTGGGAGGCTGAGGCAGGAGAATCACTTGAACCTGGAAGGCAGAGGTTGCAGTGAACCAAGATTGTGCTACTGCACTTCAGCCTGGATGACGGAATGAGACCCTGTCTCAAAAAAAAAAAAAAAAAAAAAAGGAAAAGAAAAAAGAAAATCCTATAACTCAATGAGTAGTTGAAGACTGTTGATACTAAACCTTTAGCAGCACTTTAGAGACTAGCATTGCTATGAGCTGCATCGCCAGCCTGTGGTAGAATAACTGTAGATTATCTCTTGAAATATATATCTAGCATGAGGCTGGACAAAATACAATCCAAACCCTTGTTACTTTGGAGTCCGCTCCAAAGAAAGAATTTCCTTATAAATGAGTGTTTGACCTAACCTGGAATGTCCTCATCACTTTTGGGCTGCAAAATTACTGTCCTTTATACTCCTCAGGTCATTGGTACTAGAGTGCATTCTACGCCCCAAGTGTGCCCATGTTTCTTGGCCAACAGGATGCACACATATTAATTATGCTCTGGTTATCCATTAGTAGAGAATAAGCAGTTCCAAAGCTTAGTGGGTTGATAGAGCAACAGCCATTTATTTTTCTTGCCAATTTGAAATTTGTGTAGTGTGTGTGTTGCAGCCTCATCTCTGAGACCTCAAGTTGATTGACCACGGCTGGAGGCCAGAGGAACTGATTACTGGACAGGCATGTCTCTCTCTTTCTCTCTTCTTTCTCTCTCTTTCTCTCTCTCTGTGTGTAACTGTTGTGTCTTTCCATGTGGTTTCTTTAGCATGGTGGCTAAGGGTTAGACTTCTTGCATGGTAGCTCACAAGTCAAGAGAGAGTATTCCTACAGGCCTGGGCAGAAACTGCAAGGCTTCTTTAGGCCTAACTTCAGAGGGCTTGGAATTGCCTTTTTTTGGTTGGGCAAGTCACCAAGGCAGCCCACATTCAAAGGGGGAGTAGTAAGTCTGGTCTCTCTCTATGGGACTGCTGAAAAAGTAGATGAGGCCATCTTTTGTCTACCACAAATTCTCATATTTAAAAAAATGCTTTTCTTATCCCATGTTTTCACTCATAAGTGGGAGCTAAACAATTGGTGCTCATACACATGAAGATGGAGATAATCGACACTGGGGACTCCAAAAAGTAGGAGGGTTGAGAAATTGACTATTGAGTACAATGTTCAATATTTGGGTGATGGGAATCCAATCTACATCATGATGCAATATACCCATGTAACATACAAGCTTAGGTACAATGTTCAGTATTTGGGTGACTGGAATCCAATCTAAGCCATGATGTAATATAACAATGTACAATGTACAAGTACATGTACTCCCTGAGTCTAAAGTAAAAATAATGTAATAAATTCAATCAACCAATCAATCAACAAAATGCTTTCCTTTAAAGGAACTGTTTGAAAGAATGACTGGAGAGGATTGTGAGACTGAATGTGCAGATTCATTCTAATTTCCTGACTAATTTAATTTTTTACAAAAAGAAACACAAAATATGAGGTATGGTAGCATTTTTTTCCAGTTTGCCTTCTGAATGGTTTCATTTTAATAGAGCTAACTCTCAGGACCTACAAATACTGGTATGTGAGCCCCACTGCTTCACAAATTCAAAGAATTTCTCCCCTATTATATAGTATTTTTAGTTTAAAAAAAGCAAGCTAACATAATTTATACAAATGTTAGAATAACTAGATGTTTTAGTTTTTAAGAGATCAAAGTCTTTATTTTACTTTTTCCTCTCTAGTAGGCCATAACTAGTAGTGTGCTGCAGGCTGAAACTAAGAGAAAAAGAATTGTTATTGATTTAATATTATCAGGTGAAATTTGCACAGGAAATTATTTGACATTTGTTTAAATTACCATTGAATATCAGTGATATTGTGGCAGGTGATGAGTAAAAGAAACTGAATGAAAAGATGACAAATTTAATGAAATCCAGAAATTGAGAAGTGTGTTGCTCATAGTCTACAGAACAAGCAATGGAAAAATAAAAAATTAGGAGAGCTACGAATGAGTCTGAGTAATTGCCTCACGGTTTAGAGAAGCAATACTTAAACTGAAAGAAAACAGACATGATTTACCGTTTTATATGATGGGATTTCACCATTTTGAGATATAGCTTCCCTCTACTCCCTCAACACCCCAAGCCCGGCTTAGAGGGGTAAGAGTATTGAAGAGACTTGTTTTATTATAATTAGGATTAGATCATAAAACAGGAAAATACCCTCATTTACTATTTTGGACAGCCACAATAGTTCCCTTTATATTCTTGTCTTTCTGAAGACTGTCTACAACCCATATTGGCCAAAGAGCTCTAGATCCTCTGCAAATGATACCTTCCTAGTCTGCCCTTTTCTGATACCTGATATAATTCAGAGCACTTTTACTCCTTTGCTTCTCAGAAGGTAATTATTTAAAGCTTTGGAAGTGTAGTAACAAAACAGGGCTGTGAAATTCTACCTGTAGAAGAGCTACAACTTATGTGGCACTCACTAGAATGTATGCACTTTTCTAAGCACTTTTAATAATACCTTTTATCCTTACAATAATCTTATGAAGTATTAATTATGCCCATGTTACAAATGGCAAGGTGGAAACACTGGATGATTAAGTTAATTACTCCAGACATTATTCAAATAGCAAGTGGCAAAGATGTGATTTAAACCTAGGGAGTCTGAATTCTGAGTCCTGAGTTGTTACGCTGCCTCTTAAAAGGCTCTGGAGCACATTGCTACAGAAAATTCTCAGTGCCCACGAAGAAGAAATTCTATTTACCCAAGTTCAAATTTAATAATAAAAATGGTGGCTTTTTAGAGCTTTTTCAAATCTCAAGCAATCTCCATCTTGAGCTTTGTCCATTGTAGTGAGATGGAGCACCCTGGGAGGGTGGGGAATCTAGAGCTTTCTTTAGCATTTGCTGTTGGAGATGTGCTGAGAGACAGTCTGAGTTGGAACAGCTGTTCCAGCAAGAGGAATATGGTTTCTGGATAGTTTGTGTGCTGACTCTGAGCAGATGGGGGTGCATGACATGATCAGCATTACGGAAGTGTGTTTGTAAGGTCCTGGGCATGGCAAGTCAGAAACTGGTGACAGATAAATGGAGACCACAGGGGACAAGCAGTTGTTATTGGAGAAGTCAGTTGCTGAGGATGCAAGGCATAGCTCAGTTATGGAAACTGGTGATCAGGAATAGAACTGTTATAGAGACAAGGAAATCTTGTTTTGTGTCTTAAAGAATGTCAGACTAGAACCTCCTAAATCCTTCTTTTTAAAAGGACAGAATAAGCCAGGCACAGTGGCTTACGCCTGTAATCTCAGCACTTTGGGAGGCCAAGGTGGGCAGATCACTTTCGCTCAGGAGTTCAAGACCAGCCTAGGCAACATAGTGAAACCCTCTCTCTACCAAAAATAGAAAAATTAGCTGGGTGTGGTGGCATGCACCTATGGTCTCAGCTATTCGGGAGGCTGAGGTAGGAGGATCGCTTGGGCTCGGGAGTTGGAAGTTGCAGTGAGCCCAAATTATGCTACTGCACTCCAGCCTGGGCGACAGAGTAAGACCCCATCTCAAAAATAAATAAATAAACAAATATAAAAAAATAAATAAAGGACAGAAAAGAAACATATGTCAGTTCGTCAGGAACAAAGGGTGTGATGGGAAAAATGTGAAAGAAAAAACAATGGAGTCAGTTTATTGAGATAAAGTATTTAAAAGAAAGAACAGAATAAAGTAAAATATATTATTAATTTGTAATATGTACACATTGTTGAAAATATAGAACACAGAATATAAGAAAGTGGGGGATAATACCTGACTTTAATATCCTTATTAATAAATTGTCACCACTTAACATTAGATATATTTTTTCTAGTAATTTTTAAGTATATATCTGTGTATATGTTATATAAGAAACTATTTTGTATCCAGAATTGTATCTGCTGAACGTTATATTGTAAATATTATTCCATTAATCATTATAGTGTGAAAAATATTATTTGACAATGTGTTTTAATGGTTGCATAATATTCCACCCCGTGAGTGTATTTAATTAATTTCATCATTTCAACATTTAAATTATCTTTCAGCTTATTACTATTATCAAGAGCACAGAAATGAATATTCTTATATGTAAATAGCTATGCACAGCTTTGGGTTTTTTAAGCACCAATTTCTTATATAAACTAGTCAGGTGAATTACTTTAACTTCTTAAAGATTTTTACTACATTTTGCCAGATTTTTTTCTAGAAAGGTTGTACCTATTTCCCCTCCCACCACATACTTGAAATATTACCTTTTATAATTTATTCAATTACTGCCATTTTTATGGCTGAGATTGGAATTGTGTCATTCTTTTATTCAATAAAGAGAATATTCAATACATGGAATGGTTATTATATAAACATTGTGTGCCCAGATTTGAACTAGATTCCATGGACTCTGATAGTGTCTTATATTTACTTTATTTTGCATTTTAATAACTAAGCAACCAGCAACGTTAAAAGATTTTCATATGTATATCGATATATTTGTATTTCTTCTTTTATAAACTTTACATTTATGTTTTTTGATCATTTGCATTGAGGTATTAGTCTTTTTTAAAATTGATTTTTAAGGCCAAACCAAATGCTGATTTGGTCCAGATTCAAGTATAAGAATATTCTGAGAGTTTTAAATATTACACAAGTGTTGGTTCTGGTTGGCTCTGATTTGAACTGATTCACTAATTGTTTTAATTTATTCATCCACTTAGCCACTATTCATCAGGCTTCTATTACATGTTCAAACTCAAACATTCTCATAGACACTGGGAGATACAACAATAAGCTGCTGTTTCTACTGTCAAGTTGAACACAGACCTGTAACAGAGAAAAATAATGAGACAAGCAATTGTAGACAGGATCATTTTGCCATTAAACAGATGTAGATTTTTTTCTATTTGGCTTTCATTCACTTGCCTTTCCTAGTAAAGAATGTTTGTTTGTTTGTTTGTTTGTTTGTTTTTGGTGGCAGGCAGTGCTGGCCTCTCTTTTCACTCCAGCAACCAAGAGTTGGTTATTTGATGCTGATAAGATACTTTTATCTAGGATTTTAAATTTTAAGCAAATGATGCAAACCTTAATGGCTGCGCTACTATCAGTATACCATAATGATGGCACAAGTATCCTTCAATGGCAGAATGCCCAACTTCAGTGGCTGTGTACTATCAAGGCAGTGGAAGTGTCTTGATCAGGGTGTACTTGCTAAAGGACTATGATTATACTTTCTACTTTCTAAGATCATGTAGCTGTATTTTTTTGTTGATTGTCCAGACCAGTACTTACTTAGGCTTGAGAAGTTTCTCTGAACCATTTAGATTCTCCCAGAAAATTTCTTTTCTTTCTCTTAAATAGTTAAAGTTGATTTCTCCAGTAGCCAAATGCATAATAACTGAATCAAGAAGTTCAGTGCAAAAATATACAAAGAAAATACAATTCAGGCTCAGTTAAGCAATGAACAATTGAAATTGGCTTCATTTTTAATTTTCATAAAATACTGGTTTTTGCTTGCGTGTTTTATTTTGCTTTGGCTGTATACATTGCTTGGGTTAAGGACCTTATTTTAAAATAATTACTAGTTCCAAACACAAGTGAACATTATCAAATTATGTAAAATATCTCTACAGAATACTGAAGAAGAGTTCAGTTTGTGGCAAATCTTGCTCTTTTTGCCTCAGCCATGTTTTAGTTGCTAAAGTAAAAAAGTTGGGAATCCTGTCTTTGGAACTTGTGATTTTTCTCTCTTCTCTATATAACTTCTTCATCTACTGCTTGTGAACTCTTTTGTAAGTTAATATTTAAGTCACTTGCGTATTTTTCTTTTAACTCATTTAAACTCTTTGGGAGAAACTATAATGTTATATAATTCTTTGTGTTATCACTGTACTAAGAATAAATTATTGAATGAATGAATTAATGGGAATAAAAAGAGAGACAGAAGCCTCATAAAATTGACCAAAATAAGAGGCCGAAGGCATCATTTTGCTTCATGAAATCAAAGCATTCCAAGACTTTGTGATGTGCTAAGTCATATATCTGGTGGATGATAGAGGCAGGGGGATTTGTTATAGGACAAAGAGCTCTAAGGAAAGAAGACCAGTCAGAGAGTCAACATGGTAGCAAATTTTTCTCTTGAAAGTTTTTAAACCAAATGTATTGTTTAAAATGTTATTAAATTGGTTATTGACATGTATCAAATTACAAAGAGCAAAACCAAACTTATATTTTATTTCTTTTTTTAATTTCGACTACCTTCTTATGTAGACACAGAAGTAAATTATCCAAATATTGTGAACCAATGAATATTTTAAAAAAGCACCTATTCATTCATAGGTTATCAGCAGAGTCATGTTTAAATAAGAATAGGGTATTTCTCTATGGTTGTCCATATATCTATTTAGGAATATATTTATTTATTTTATTTTTGAATCTATGTTTTGGTTACTTGGATACAAATTTATAATTTATGAAAAATCATTAAACTTTTTTATAGTTTGTTCAATGTTGTGTTTTGTATTAACAAAATGAATTAAAATATTATACAAAATAAGCTTGTTTTATATTGTTTGACTGTTAGTAGAACAATGAGAATGTAAAATGAGCTTTTTAAATTTTTTTCTTTGGGTAAAAATTAAAATGTGAAACAACTTTATTTTGTTTCAGTACATTTCCACTGAGTGCAATATCTAACAGGATAGCATATAAGCCATAAGTGTAGAGTCCAATTAATTTTTCTGAACTAAACACACCCATGTATGTCTGGATGAAGAGAGAAAATACTTCCAGCACCCCAGAACCTTGAATGGCTCCTTGTTTCCTTATCTATTATTAACTACTATCTTGACTTGCAGCTTCAAAATTGCCTGATTTTGAACAATATATGTGTAATCATGAATATGTATCAATGTACTATTTTGTATCTGTTTCCATCATCAACATTACATTGGTGGTACTTATCCATCTTGCTGGTAGTCATAATTGTTTCTTTTTGTTGTTGTATAGTATTCCTTTATATCACTATTCCTTATAGTATTCCCTTATACCACAATTTACTTATCTATTCTACTGCAGGTAGGTTATGTGGGCTGTTTCCAAATGATGCTGCTGAAACATTCTTAGACATGCTGTTTGGTGAATACACACGCACGCACACATACATTTAATAAATATTTGGAATTGCTCAGTCATAAGATCCAAAATTATAAAAATTTTAAAATAACAAAATCCTCAGTTTTTAAAATATATTCCCCATATTTAGGAATGGGGAAGAATTATTAGGCAAATGCAAGATTCAAAATGATCTCCCTAGAGGACATGCTTCCTCAAATGTGTAGCTTAAACCAGTTGGCAAATATCTCCAACAGCTTATTTTAGCATCATCACTTAGCCTTACAGGGATATTTACATTTCTACCTGTGCAAGATTGTCTCTATTTAAATAGGCTCTGAAGTGTCTTCTATGCTCCCGAGGCAAATTAAAAAGGAAATCCAGGAAGAATTGACAGGCTGTTCCCTAGAACTCTGAACAACTCTAATTATGTTACAATACATTTAGATGGTTTAGCACGGAGTAGTCTGCCTGCCTTTTGAGAACAGAAGCCCGAGTAGTTTCCGCAATGTACTTCTCTTGATGTGCTTAGGGAAGCTTCAACATTACACGTTAATGCAGGAAACAACTGTACGTTTTTGTACTACTTAATTCATTGCTGTGTTTGACTTGTGTTTTTCACATTCAATAATATAGACAGTTTCATGATGCTGATTCCAAACCCGAGTCTCCAAGGGTTACCATTTAAATCATCATCACCATGAATGCCTTCATTTTTGCAATCGCTCAGCATACAGAGTTAGGTTCTGGTTCATCAGCCACAAGCTGGGCAAAACCCAAGCCCTAGAGAGGCACAAAGGTAAGGCAAGGGGAGCACCCAAGCAGGAGAGTAATTTACTTAGCTTCAACAATTCCGGCTCACAGGAACTTCTCTGAGTGCTGTGACAAGCCTCAGCATCAGCTGCTCCCAGCCTACTTGCAGGGAGTCCACCAGAGTGTCTGTTTCGTGTTAGTGTGTTAACAGCAGGAGCTGAAAAGTTCTCCAGACTGTCTTGTCCTGCTTTTTAAATATAAGCATCCTGTGTGACATATCCTGGAAGGAGAGGAATACAAATAAGGTGGAAATAAATGAGCAGAGCTGTCTCAGACGGTAATGTATTTCCAAAGGTGTCTGTGGGGAGTTGGTGGGGATGGCATAGTTACTGCCTAATTTGCTTGGCTTTCTATAATCATTTCCATTTATCTGCAATCTAGTTAAAAGCTACTAGCTAGTTTATCCATTTCTACATGGGGATCCATTATAAAAAAGCACTTCTTTTTGCAAAGTAAGATCCATTCTTGCCTATTCCCCAGAGTGAACTATCAAAGGATAAATTATTTTCTAGATAGGCGCTCCACATCACTGAACAACTCAATCTATGTTCTTTCATCTTCACAGCTCTCTCACTCTGTGCAGTTCCTGTGCTGGTTCATTAGCTATTTCTAGTCAGGGCTCCCCTTTTCTAGCAAGCTCCACAATCCCAGAGTTCAGGCTTCATTCTCGTCATGATTTGCTTTTCTGTTGTACTGTAAACAATCAGTGGAAAAAATGAGTAGAGACTTACCTCATTTTTATTTGCGGATTAAACTGCATTTTGCAACTATTATTTTTGAGGGCTAGAGGAGAATTAATGATGGGTTTTAGGGGCCAATACACAAGGGATATTTAAATGCACATTTATCAAAATTAAATAAAATGAGGCTTTTTGTTTCTCAGTCACACTGGCCACATTTCAAGTGCTCAATAACCCCGTGTATCTAGTGACTATCTTATTGGACATTTTCATCATCAGAAAGTTCTATTGGATGGTTCTGCTCTACTAGAGAATCAAATCCTTGTGAATAGGAGCATTCTCTTGGACATCCCTGTTGCCTAAGACAGTCATAGGGTAGGTGCTTTGTAAAAAATAATAATAATAACCCTACTTTAGCAAAGTTCATCTGATTTGTGAATCGTCAGGGGAATCTAACTGATGTCCTGTCAATGCTATATTTCAAGTCATGAGATTTTCTAGTTGAGAAACATTCCACCTATAGAGGTCCTTGAAAATTACATATAATTGATTCACAAAACAGTATGAAGAAGGAAATAAATAATTTTATGATCCTGTTACTAAGAAATGAGAGGTTAAAACATTTGCAGATACATGTCAATAACTAAATAATACTACAGGAAAATAAACTAAGAAATGCTATCAGGAAACCCATGATTAATTGCTAGGGGAAGCACAACTGCTATACAAGAAGTCTAAAGAATAAGAGAATGGGTGGATGGTTGTTCCATGGAAGGCTTTACAGAGGAACCAAAGCCCTGCCCATCTTTTGCAGAGGCTGGTGTCATTAACACCTCTGATTGTGGCAAGGCCTATGACAGCGGTCTGGCTGCAACAGCATCAGTATCCCTTTTATCACTCAGCATAATTTCAGAGGTCTGTAGCCTAGTCAGAAGTCATTTCCTGCTTTCTGTGTCTTTCCCAGAATCGAATGCTCTGTCAGAAAGACCCTCTTCCTTGAGGGGGAAATTCTGTCTTCTTGAAAAGATGATGGTAACTCTGCACTCCTGTTGGTATGAGTGAACCAGTCTTTACCAGCTTTTGCATTGGACTCTCTGATCATCCCCACCCCAGGAGCCCAGGCATCCCAAGGGTCCCATCCTGCAGACCTCCTGGAGACTGCCCATTCACACATACGATTTAATTGCCTCCGGCAAAGGAAGGAGAGAGGATTAAAGGCTGATTAAAGAGCTTACAGAAAATAGATGAGATTAGAAATGAATCCTCTGGAAACCCAAGGCTGCATGAAACAGATCTTGTGGGGCAGGTTGTGTGCTCCTGCAGTCCTTGCTGCTCCTGTGTCACTTACAGGAAGAAGGCACACTGGAAAGTCAAGTCCAAGAAGAGGTGCTTTACATGGAGCTTGCACAAAGGGACAGAGAAAAATACACAATATAAAATATATATATTTTTACCAAAAGATAAAACAGAAGTAATTGCTTCCCACCATTTTATGAAGAAGCAAAGAAGAAAGTATTTATGAAACATGATATATGCCACCCATTTTTTTCCGGGTGATATTTTATTAATTAGCATTTATTTACCAATACAGTAAACAACTACTCTGATAGGCTTCCGATCCAAATTTTAATGTTAGAGTTAGCAGAAACTACATAGAAGAGATAGTTTGGTCTCATCCTCATCTGTAACATTTCTGTAAATAGAAGACAGGTGTGGTAGCTTATATCTGTAATCCCAGCATATTAAGGAAGCTGAGGCAGGAAGATTCCTTTAGCCCAGGAGTCCAAGGCTATAGTGAGCTATGATCTCACCAATGCACTCCAGCCTGGGAGACAGAGCAAGACCCTGCCTCAAAAAAAAAAAAATTTTTTTTTGGTAACCATTTGAGATGGCTCTATGGGGAAAGTGAGCATGCTAATTCCTGGAAAAGAGAGAAACTTGCCACCAAAGAAATTTCTCTCTTTCCTTAACTTGATCATAACCCCAAAAGGATTAGCTGCCCAGAAACTTTCCCCATCACCTTGAGTTGTCAAAAGTACAAAGAAGCAGAGGGCAAAGGAAGGCAGAACTCCAATCAGCTTTGTGAGGTCTCTGGAAGCCTAGTTTTTCCTTCAACATGTTACCATTAAAACCCAATCAGCTTCTGTTACACAGGGCAAGAGCTTGATGAGCTCGTAACCTTATAAACAGTTCTCTGGAGAGATGTGGTGAGGTTATCTGAATATAATTCATCTAGGCAACAAATTGACTCATCACTCAGCTCACAAATCTTCCTGTGGACCAGGCTGCCAAAACAGGAAGAATGTTCCCTTCTGTAGAAATCTTCCTCTAAACTTTGCTAATTTTATGGAAAATCTAGACCCCTTTGAGAGTAAAACAATAATAAAGATAGTAAATATATACATAATTTTCTGAGTACCAGGCATTTTTCATAATTCTCTGTCTTCCAACAATCCAACAAGTGTTCTAGTTAGAAGGAGTTATGCTCATTGTATATATGAAGGAAATTGAAATTCTTAGGCATAAGTATAGCACACTTTCCAAGTTATACAACTAATAAATTAAGAAAGCTGTGTTCAAATTTAGTTCTTTCCTGTTTGAAAGAGAAGTTTCCTCCTACTAAATCATATGGTTAGCTCATCTACTCTGAAAGCAAAATTGTATTAGGTTGGTGCAAAAGTAATTGCCAATTTTGCTATTAAAAGTAATGGTGCCAGGCGCAGTGGCTCACGCCTGTAATCCCAGCACTTTAGGAGGCCAAGGCGGGTGGATCACTTGAGGTCAGAAGTTCGAGATCAGCCTGGCCAACATAGTGAAACCCTGTCTTTACTAAAAATACAAAAAATTAGCCGGGTGTGGTGGCTGGCACCTGTAATTCCAGCTACTCCAGAAGCTGAGGCAGGAGAATTGCTTGAACCCAGGAGGCAGAGGTTGTAGTGAACCAAGATCGCACCACTGCACTCCAGCCTGGGCAACAAAAGCGAAATTCCATCTCAACAACAACAACAATAAAAAGTAATGGCAACACTGTAATTGCTTTTGCACCAATCTAATAAAAAGATACGAAGTCCAAAAAAAAAAAAAACTTTTCTACGGTTATGATGGGATAAAATTGATTTAATGGTTTATTTTCAACCTGAGTTAATTAATCCTCTACTGTGAGTTACTTGTCACAATGTGTCTTAGGGAGAAACTATCTTAATTTCTGATCTCAAAGAAATAGCAAATTTCCCTCTGCCACAAGTTTCAACTTAGGATTCTTCAGCTATTGTGACATCCCGAAAGCTTGACATGGTAAGCTTGGGAAAAAGGATGTGACTGCCAGCCTATAGAATAATATAAGACAGTGCTTAGAAGCAACAGCAAAATCAAAAGCCAGGCAGGAAGTCCAGCACTATCTACCTGAGGGGTAACACAGAAGAGAATTCAGTATTAGGCAACACTGAGGGCTTTCTTATAAAAATCATAGGATTGACTATAATACAGTTCTCATATTTCCCTAATTAATTCTTCTTTGATGCTTGGATATAGACAATTGAGAGAGTGTAGTGAAGTGAGTCTGCATTAGGATTTGAATTGGTACAGAAGAATCTAGAAAGCTAGAAGCCTAGTCACAGGGGAGGAAAATTCCTTTCTAGTTGAACACTGACATTACCAAAGGCATTTCCTGAGTATAGAGTTAAGAGAAAATAATTGTAAAGAATATAATTAAAAGGAGAAGTAATGATCATTATTATTATTATTTATCAGAATTTTGACAGCATTGATTTATTGTAAGCAAGCATCTTATGGTTTAGAATTCTGAAGCCAGTTTATTCCTTCCTGGTTAACTAAAGTAAAATGTTACTTATCAAGCACTTTGAAGACACTTCTCACTTTGTTCTTTCTGTTTTCTATTCTGAGATTTCTTCTAAAGCCATGTTGGTTATCAGCTACTTATCAGTATGGTGTACAAGATGGAATCTGTTCTGATTGGCCTGGTATTAGTAATGATTTTCTGGCACCTTGGTTATAGAGTTTGCCAAATATTTGCAACTGTCTTCCCTGTTGAGTGGGGTATTAACTGTCCCACACAAGTACTCCCTAACTCACTTTTTTAAATTTCAGAATTTGTGTCTCCTTTACTCATAACTTGGTAATCTGAAAGAATAATTTGTCATGATCTTTCTGTATACTATGTTTAATTTACATATTTAAATGTATATAGTCTGTAAACATTCTGCTGTATCATCCTTTTATTATTGTAACCATCATTTCCGTAATTTCGTTTCCAATACCTTTGATCACTCTGCTTTCATATTTCCACCCTTTTTTCTCCTTCTCTTCTCTTTGTTTTCCTCCCTGCCTCCCTCTTTCTCACTCATTCTCTCTCTCATTTTCCTTCCCATTACATTATCTCATATCTAAAAGTTAAAACTGTGTTTAGTTTCCATTTATTTTAGGTTTCTGTGTTTATTCTGTTTACTTACCAACTAATTGTTGTGTGTTGGTTCCTAAGAGTCATTTCTGTAATTTTTTTTCTCTCAACCTTTTTGCAAGTGAGGTTTTATAATTTGGCCACTTTTTGTAGCTAGAGAGTATTTCCTAAGCTTTGGAGAAAACCACTGTTTCCCTTGCAGTTAATAAGTATTCCAATTTTGTGGCCTTGGCTTGTGGCATAGTGGAGGACACGGTAAGGGAATTTGTGGCCAGGCAGGCTGTCTTCCCAGAACATGATAAACTGTAATACATTGCCTTTAGAAGCCACGTAGGTAAAGCAAATGTCTGAAGCTGATGGAGTTTTAAAGCAATATAGGTGTTGACTACTATGGAGAACTGGACAGTGTATCATGTTTACATTACTTTGATTTTTTTTTAAAGTTTAAACACTTTTTTTTGCCAAATGAAACAAATCTTCTGCCTTCATAAGTCCCAAGACCCCCTTAACTTAAATTAATGAATCCTATTTTGTGTTACACATGGAGCTTGTCTTCTGGGTATAGGAATTTCTTGTCCCTTTTGGCAAAAACAATTTATGTAGGACATTGCCCTACTTTTCTAGCACTAGCTCCCTCTTTGGATGTCTCCAATGTCAGAATTCCTAATTATTTTGTGAGAAGTAAACTTGACTTGCAGTTTTACCCTGAGGGCAAATACGGGTGCCTGCTGATATGAAAATGCATACTTGACACAATTTTTCCACAGCAGTTATTAATTACTGCCAAGACATGGCAAATTGCATTATTATTTAGCACATACTCACTTCTGCTTTACCTCTATCTGTGGGAGGATTATACTTCCTGCCCCACTAATACTGGGGTTGGCCACATGTCTTACCTTAGCCATTGCAGAATCATGTGCTACATTTACAGAGAGGCCATTTAAATGTACTGTGTCATTTGCTTATCCTCATTTACTCCTGAATTCAAGCTTCAGAACACGCTCCATGTAACTATGGCTTCTGTAGTCTGAATCCTGGAAAATAGAAATGTATAATAGACCTGAATCCCTCCCAAAACCTAGAACAGAGCCACTACAGATCTGTAAGCATGACATAAATGTTTGACATCATGAATCATTGAGTTCTAAGGATTGTTTGTTACTGCAGTAGTTAACTAGTACAGAATTTGGTACCAGAAACAGAGTAATGTCATTATAAAAACAAAAGCAACTCTTAAAAATATCAACTAAAATATATACTATTACCTTTAGGGAAGGACAGTGAATTGCAAGAAACTGTTATAGAAAACTAGACAAAGACAATCCATGCTATTGTAAGGGCAAAACAGTTGATTAAACTGTGTCCTGCAATATCTTGGAGGTAGTCAAAATATCTGATAAATTCATGTCCTTGGTTAATGCAGTAGAAAGAGAGAATGTTGGTAGCTGAGTTAATAGCTATTGGTTATGTTTGAGAAGGTTATATAAGAAAAAGATATTAGTTCAAGGAAAAACAAAACAAGAAATCAGGAATGAAAAAAAAAAGAAATAATCCATAAATGCTGGCAACTTCAGCATTGAAGGATGCATCTGTGTCTCCTTGACAAACAGTCAAAGATAAAATGGAGAGCAGCTTTGAGTGAGGAAACCCTGGTGAGATTGAGATCAAGACTGGAACTTGGGGCAAAGGCACTGAGGCCCTAACGAGGCTACAACCGTGACACCTTTTTAAAATCCACCAATTGATTAATCTGACCCCAGATTAGCCTTTTAACTGGTCAGAATGACCCTTATAATAGACATAACAGGAAAGGGCATGTTTCTACTGAAGTCCAAGAAGCTCAGAGTTAGGAACTCAGAGTTATATCTTGCAACAAATTGTGGATGGAGACATTGGCATATGGAGCTGATGGAATGACATAGATAAAAATAGATCAAACAAAAACAAAAAACACTACATTTTTGACAAGTGCATTTCTAAGCTGGGCTAAAAGGTACTGTTCTCTGAGTTGTAAAATGACCCAGAGGCACCCAAATTTAGACAGGCAGAAAATGGTAAAAGTGCTTCTCAGCCACCCTAAAGGGAATATTTTCGATTGCCCTTTTCAGATGTGTCCAAAGAGAAAGTGAAACAGGAAGAAATTCTCTAAGGTAGAGTCAAGAGCCAATGGAACAGGATGGACTGTGGAGTTACTCCCAGGAAGTAAAACTTGTGTTTAATGAGCTGAGCTCTCTACCATCTCAGGGAGGGTGCCTTGCAGTTCATCCAGCTGGGTTTCAGAATTGTGTCTTCCACACTCACCTTTTCTGGATACGAGTGTTTTCTGTAGTTATCCTGTTTCTGGTCCCACATTGTATGCTGAATGTTTTGAGAGCAGATAACTTGTCATTTTAGGTCAGAGGTCTCTGGATCAAGAGGACTTATATCTAGACCAGATAAAGCGATTACCCTGAGGTCCTGGATTTCAAGCAAGATACCACATTGGAATAAAGCTTTAGGGTTTCTTCATTGAAGAAAGGGTGAATGTAATTTGTATTTTGAATTATGTGGATATTTATGACTAAAAAGAAGGACTGTGGTAGATTTTGTTATTCAAATAATTACACTGTCTGTGGATTAGAGTATATGTCCTGTCACATTGATCTGGGGGCTTGATTATGTGACTTGCTTTGACAAATATATTGTATCCCAGTTCCAAGCCTAGGCAGCGGAGACATACTCACTGTATGTGCTGCAGCCTTTGACCATGAAAACAGAACACCCCTGGTAGGAGATGCTTTTTTAACCTGGATCCTGGGATAAAAACACGTTTGGAGAGGATCTGAACCCAAATCACTTTTGAAGTGAAGCTTCTGTAGCTGATTTTCAGACACAAGAGTAGGAAATTAATGTTCTTTGTTGCAAGCCAACAAGATATTGAGTGTGTTGTTGTCACAGCAAAAGCTAATTAATACACCAGCCTGCTAACCTGTGGCCCATTCTTTGAATTTGATTCCATTGACTGAGTTCTTATTATAAATTTCCGCTAAGAAAACTCACCTTATTTATGTTGGAGAATCTTCCATTCAGTTGCATATGTAAGTTCCTCTGTTCTGTTGGGGTTCATTGAATATAATCTATTTATATCTTTCAGAAATCACTGTTCAGTCTAGGGATAGTCTTCTTTCATTTTTCCATGTTCACCATAAGTTTATTCATACATTTTTATTTATTCTGTCTTTTGAATGGAATTTTAAGAGAAAGAACTCACTTACACATATGGTTGGTCACCCTGACTAGGCTCATCTTTTCAATCCCATTGGTTTTAGAAATTTGTATCCATATGGAGACTTGCTAGATAAGGAGGACATCTCTTGTTTGTGGGAAGGTTTTCAGTCCTTGATAGAAAGATATTTCCAATGGGGGAGGGGTGGGTGGTATATAAAATACCTGAGAGAATGCACGTCTTTCAGGCACTGCATCGACCCAGTGCACCTTTTTAATAACCCATAATAGCCCGCTAAAACCAGGCAAGGATTCTCTGATCTAGATACTCAGAATCTGAATGATTTGGTACCACTGATGAAACTCAAAGATTCTAGCCAAACCTAATAGCTATTATTCATTAGTTAAGGCGCAGAGGTTCTTCTGTTTTCATTGTGAGCTACTAAAACAATTTGAGATATAGAAGAAGGATCATTTGGAAATTGATTCTGAATAAATTGAGACAAAAATATAATGCCAGGAGGTGCAGGGGCCAGAGAGGAGTTCTCAAGGGAACCAAAATGGCTTGGAAATCAGAATTGCCTTCTAGCTTGAAACTCCATGCCATTAAGATTCCTATAAATACACTGCTATTTTCAGTAGCTGGTGCTACTGGGATCTTTTACTCCAAGTTTTAGATATTCATATTATTCTGACAACTTCTTTTCCATTAGAAAACTGGCCACCAAAATTTTTCTGTAGAAAAATTATATGTTATATGGTTTGGAGCTAATAACATCACAAGCTAGAAATAGACTTTCTCCAATTCATCTAGCATCCTCTTTGCAAACACTTCTAGTGCTCCCCCTTTGCCTTCTTCTGTTCCATACTCCTAGCCGAAAAGCACTCTGTAAGTATGCTTTCAGCTTAGCATGTTGTGGGAAGCATTACTTGACCTCCCTCTAACTTGTGTGTACATAGACACCTACATGATTTTAATTATCATATCATTTTTCCAGAAAACACCTACTGGATGTTATATGGTTATTAGAAACATTTTTGCCACCAAAACAAAAGAAAGGTAGAAGAACAAGTAAGCCAGATAATTCCTAACCTTTTCGCCTTCTAGAATACCCTCTTTAAAATATCTAAATGGAAGGATACATATATGTGTGCATTGCTGTGATCATGGCAGTGAAATCAGCTTATGACAAACCTGCTTCACCTTTGTCTTTTGATCCTAACTACGTCCTTTTTCTGGTTTATCTTCACAGCACATCTTGGCTCTTGCTGTGCACCACGTCTACTTTTTCATTTTTCCTAAGCATCTCTAAGGCGTGTAAGCTTCACAGGCCTAAAATCTACTAATCATCCTTCCCTATGGGGCACATAGAACTGACAATGATCATACCCTCACCTTGGTGCCAGCATGCTACTATTTCTATCAGCTTCTGTCTCCCTAGAGAACCTTCTCCTTTTCACTTCATCTGCTATCTTTCATGTCCCAAACTCCCAGTACTCTCTTATGCAAAGCAACTTAGGTCAGTCTTTCCTTTGATGACTCTTAGCAGTCTGAAGAGGTATTTTACGTCTCATAAAGGGGTCTAAACCCTAAGAAGACATATAAAATCTTGAATGATTGCTCCCTATTCATGGAGAGTGCAGAAGAAAAGCAATCATTTAGTTTCTCAATTTTCTTTTTCATCCTGAATCTTAGAGTAGGATTGGCAGCACTAGCTTTGGTTGTGCTCCCAGATGTGGGGCAGTAACCATAGTAACCATTCTCCAAGATGGTCCCAAGGGATCCTGCCTCTTGGTAGTGACCTATGTTTAAAGCCCCTCCCACATTCTACCAGCTTTGGTCTGTGTGGCCCATAAAACATGGAAAGAGCAATGGTATGTCGTTTCTGGGGTTATAAAAGACATTACCTCAGCTTTTGTTTTGGTTTCTCTCTCTCTGTCTCTCATCATTTGCCCTGGGGGAAGCAAGTCTACAGAGAGGCCAATATGGAAAGGAGCTGACGCCCTTTCCAACAGCCGTGTCGCCGTTTGCGTGAGCTTGGAAGTGAACTGTACAGTCCCAGTCAAGCCTTCAGAGACTGCAGCCCTGGCCAACAGCTTGGCTACAAATGTCATCAGCAGCTCTGAACCAGAATCAGGTAGTTAAGCCACTCACAGTTTCCTGACCGTCAAAAGTCCCGTGAGATGATAAATGCTTGTTGTTTTAAGCTGGCCCATTTGGGACAATTTGTTATGTAACAGAGAGCCAATATAAGAATAAAGCTATGAAGCTTCTCTGTGTTTACTTTCCCACCTGTAAAATAATATGATATATTCTTACGTCATAGAAATAGTTTCTAAATTAAATACAATGATAATAGGCATTGGGAGTACCTGACTATTTTAGGAAGAAAAATATTACTTAAATCCAAATTTTTATGATCACTCTCTCATTTATCATACAAATAAAATATGTAAAGATGAATCTCTAAGTTTAATAGTTTTGGGGATACCAGAATTGTGATTTGGGGCATACACACAGACTGGGTGGTCTTTAGTATGTCTAAAGAATAAAGTGGGGCCAGGCGTGGTGGTAATCCCAGCACTTTGGGAGGCCGAGGTGGGTGTATCATCTGAGGTCAGGAGTTCGAGACCAGCCTGACCAACGTGTTGAAACCCCGTCTCTACTAGGAAAAAAAAAAAAATTAGCTGGGCATGGTGGTGGACGCCTGTAGTCGGAGCTACTCGGGAGGCTAAGGCAAGAGAATAGCTGGAACCCAGGAGGCAGAGATTGCAGTGACCCGGGATCACGCCATTGCACTCCAGCCTGGGCTACAGAGCAAGACTCTGTCTAAAAATAAATAAATAAATAGAAGGTTGAAGGTTTTATAAAAGGATTAAATGTTATTTATTGATTTTTCAGAAAATTCATTGGCACAAGTAATGTTCTGGGGAGCTGGAAAGCTCTGTCTGGTGGTGGGTAAAACTAGTCTTAGAGTTGCAGAAGGTTGTTTCAGTAACTATTAAGTAAAACTGGTTTCAAGTTACAACAGGCAGCTTCAGCAGCCAGGTTTGCAGAAAATTATATTCTTAGAGCAATGTTGTGTGCCTTGAGTGCTTTTTTGCCCCTGCATTCTTGACTCTGTTTTAGTTGAATATGACAAGAATGCCCTAACTCGTCTGATAAACTTTCACAATTCCTTGTAGAAATCATTTATGAATGTTATTTTTGATAAATTTTTGGGGGGGTAGGGAAGAAAATAAATATTGATTTTTTTTTAGTCAGCCAACAAAAATAGTGGGCATTTATCAATGCAATTATACTTTATCAGAAGGACACAACACATTTTTTTGTCCAAGATCTCTTTATATTCAGAGTTAAATTTTTAATCACTGCAAAGAAGTGAAGTATCACTAAGATAGTTTGCATTGCTTAATCATATTCCTTGACCTCCAGGCAACCATTAGTCCTTACAGGACACTTTTAAGACTTAGTGTCAAATTAGTTAGTTAATTAAATTAAATATCTATGGAATGTAAACAGACCCTCTTGAAAGTCTGTTGGAAAGTGTTCAGCAGATAGACATTCAGCAGTTGAGTGATAATTTTTCACAAATCATGACCTGTCCATATAACCCCTCTAGACGTTGAAAATTCTATGACGTACTTCAATATATTTGGTGATTTCTACAGGTTCTAACTGATTTTCCTGGCATATGTCAGGAAATCATTTTGCATGTGTCTCAGTGAGGAAGATACATAACTTTCCTTCCCTGTGAGTATCTTCTCTTTTTAAGTCCTGTCAAATACATTCAGTATTATGCATATATACCATTAAGATCTGTTCCTCTGTTCTTCTGAATATATGACTTTCATTTAAACTAAACTTAGAAATCCATGTAAAACTCAATGTATTGTTATTCAAATACTAAGATACAGTGGTAATAAGGTAAGTAGATAATTTCTACTCTTGTCTAAGTTTATAAATATAAACAACAACAATTTTATCAAAATGTATACATTTTATTGGTGGGTTATCAATGATTTTAATATAGATTTTAAGATATCCTGATCTTAAGAAAGTTAAAACTTGAATAAGATATTTTATAAATTGAGGAAGTAACACACCAATTACCTCTTCTATAGAGAGCATTTTTATATATTGCTTTATCTAAACTTACCAATGGCCCTTTGAGGTTTCAGATAGAGAGAGTGATACTGACAAAGATTAAATAATTTGCTTAGGTACATAGAATGTAAGAGACCAACTCAGAATTTAGCTCCCATTTTTTCCTCCAAGTATTGTGCTCATTCTAACATACATGATATAGTTTGGATATTTGTCTCCTCCAAATTTCACGTGGAACTGTAATCTCCAGTCTTGGAGGTGGGGCCTAGAAGCATGTGTGTGGGTCATGGGGACAGATTCTTCATGAATGACTTTCTGTAATCTACTCTGAAGGTAGAGCTGATAGTATTCACTGATGAGAGAGTTCAAATCATCAAGGATGATGCTAAATTTTTTGGCCCAGGAAACTAGAAGAATCAATTGCCACTTATGAAAGAGGAAAGACTAAGACCAAGGCTTTGGCGGAAAGGTCATCATCTCCATTTTAGATGTATCAATTTGACGTGCCTAGTATATATCAAGAAGAAGTTGCCTGGTAGGCAAGAGGAAAAACAAGTCTAGAGTTCAGGGAAGAGATAACAGGCCAAAAATATAAAGTTCGGTGCCAGTAGCACACATATGATATTTAAAACCATGAGTCTTGATGAAATCACCAGAACAGATTTGGTGATTTCATGAGTGGCTTGGTACCCTCCCTGCTATAATGAGTTCACATTGTTAAAAAGACTGGCACCTCCTTCTCCCTCTTTCTCTCTCTCACCATGTGACACACCTGCTTCCCCTTTGCCTTTGCTGTGATTATAAGCTTCCTGAGGCCTCACCAGAAGCAGATGCTGGCACTATGCTCCTTGCACAGTCTGTATAGCCATAAGCCAAAATAAATCTCTTTTCTTAGATATTCCTTTATAGCAACACAGAATGGACTAATTCAATATACTACCACTTTTCAAAGGATGTTATTGATTTTACCGTTGTCTTTAGTCTGTTCCTACTAAAGCAATATCAGTTTGAAAGAAAATTCTATCTATGTTTAGCTTGGGAAATGGAAAAGGATCTTGTACTTGTGCTTGATAATCAGGCTGTTACTGAGCTCACATTACATGTGCAAGCCTTTCCTCATAAAACTTCACAACTTCTCATTTAAAAGCCATTTCAGCCTTGGTTTCAGAAAGCGAAACAAAAAGAAATAAGACACAATGATTACCAGCAAGGAAATCTAAGATTTGTCTAGAAAATAATTAATTGTATCCATAATGACTCAAAAAAGGCAAGTGTCCAAAATGCAGGTTGTTGATGCCAAATATTTTCTTTTACCATCTTAGAGATGGGCTGCTATCATGCCTAAAATATCTGCATATGTTAATGAGGAAATGCTGGATATACATACATTTGTTTTCCTATAGAAACACACAAGTAATAAAAGAAGAATTTTAATTTTATTGCCTTTATTCCCAGGATCTCTCTCCAGTTACTTAAATAAAATGGTTTTTAATTAAGAAGACTCTCTACAGAGGGACTGTATGATTCAAATAATGACGAAACTCCATAGAGACACCTTAGCAATTCAGGGTGATATGTAGGCTATAGTTATAGAAACCATTTTTTCTAACCTTCCAGATGCAACAAAGGCCTTTTGTAATTTTGGTGTTCCATCTGAAATGTTATGATAATCTCTCTTTGTTTTAGACTAAAACCATATTTTTTCCTACTTAAAAATGCTTATTATTGTATAATTCTCCTCAAATGACAAACATACCATCAAAACAAAATAATTTTATATATATAAATTAACAATAAATTATCAATTATTAAAATATAGATCAAACCATAACATGCTAGAATTCGCAGAAATAATCTTGACTAGCTTCTTTTCCACCAGTTGAGAAAACTAAGACTCAGAAAGCCTAAGTAATTTTTCACTTAATTGTATATACCTGTTAAGGTTGAACTTGTTTTTGGTCGAACACTCACTGTTCTGGTAATTCCATCAAGATTCATGGCTTTAAAAATCATATGTGTGGCTGAGCGTGGTGGCTCATGCCTGTAATCCCAGCACTTTGGGAGGCCGAGGTAGCAGGATCACTAGGTCAGGAGATCGAGACCATCCTGGCTAACACGGTGAAACCTCCTCTCTACTAAAAAATACAAAAAATTAGGCAGGCGTGGTGGCAGGCGCCTGTAGTTCCAGCTACGCAGGAGGCTGAGGCAGAAGAATGACATGAACCCAGGAGGCAGAGCTTGCAGTGAGCCGAGATCGCGCCACTGCACTCCAGCCTGGGCGACAGAGTGAGACTCTGTCTCAAAAAAAAAAAAAAAAAAAAATCATATGCGTGCTACTGGCACCAAAGTTCATATTTTTGGCCTGTTACCACTTCTCTGAACTCTAGACTTATTTTTCCTCTTGCCTACCCGGCAACTTCTTGGTATATACTAGGCATTTCAAATTGATTACATCTAAAATTGAGGCCCTGACCTTTCCACCAAAGCCTCGGTCTCAGTCTTTCCTCTTTCAGTAAGTGGCAGTTGATTCTTCTAGTTTCTTGGGCCAAAATTTTAGCAACAACCTTGATGACCTGAACTCTCATCAGTGTATACTATCAGTTCTGCCTTCAGAATAGATACAGAAAGTTATAACCATACTTCTTACCATCTCCTCTTTCCTTTGTCCATGTCAATACCATCTATCATATACAGAGTTTCAGTAGCCTCTAACACATCTCCCTGTTTCTACCTATGTCTTTTTGAAGTCTATTTTTGACACAATAGCCTGAGTGATTGTATTAAACTCTAAGTCAGTGTATATCTATCTCATCAATAATCAAAGCCCTCCAAGAGGCTCCTTTTCCACTCAGAGTAAAAGTGAAAGCCCTACACAGGCTATAGGATGTGTGTACCTAGCCTTTCCTTCCATAGCCCTCCCCTCCTTCTCACACCACTCCCTTTGCTAACCTCCTCTACTAACTCCTGCTACTTAGATGTTTACTCACTATGCTCTGGTCTCCCTGGTTCCTTGCAGTGAATTCTTTACGTGTGTCAGGCAGCTTCCCCTATCATGCACATTTGCTTCATCGTGGAGGTTGCTGTCTCAAATGTTCATGTGCCTAATCTTTTACTGTCTTCAAATCAATGTTTCAGTGTCACTTTGTCAAGGAAGCCTTCTCTGACCATTTTCTCTAAAATTGCAACCCTAGCTCCCAGCACCCCCTGTCTCCCTTTTCTAATTACAGTGTAAGCTCCATGAAGGCAAAGATTGTGTGTTTTGTTCAATAATTTGTACATCATATAGCGGACATTAAATGGCATACAGTCTGTGTTCAGTGAAAAATTTAATGAGTGAGTGAGTGAATGAATGGATGAATGAAGATGAATAAATGCTTTTGGTAATGTATAGTAATCTATCAACACATTAAAACCTTGGGAAAACATCCAAGTAAGGGGCCTTCAATTTCCATATACACACACATATATATATAAATCTGTAGAATCATCTTCTTAAAGAATTTTTTTTTTTTGCACATGAATCATCATTAGTGACACTTTGCCTATTTAAAGGCTATGGTATTGTGTAGATGGTTTTTCCATTCCAAAAGTGCCAGAGTCACCTGGGAGCTAATGTTATTCTGGATCATTTGAATTTGTACTTTCTATCTTTGAAAGAAAATGATCAGTAATTGCCTTATTTAATGGTTACAGCTTAAAATAATGTTGTAGATAGTGGAGGTGAGATGGTGAGTATCTGATTGACATCCTCAGTTACAGATTATAGGAAGTATAATTTGTATTTTTTAAGCAATATGTTTAGCTTTGTGGATATGGAGTGTGGGATGATAAACCTTTAAGACTGAGAAGGGTGGAAGGGTGGGAGGGGGTGAGAGATGAGAAGATATTTTGGGTACAACGTACATTATTTCAGTGATAGTTACACTAAAAGCCCAGAGTTTACCAGTACACAATATATCCATGTAACAAAACTGCACTTTTATCCTTTACATTTATACAAATTTTAAAAACTAAAAATAAATAAATAAATAATCTATGTAACTTTAATAAAGGATAATTGTAGAAATCTGCTCAACATTTACTTAAGACCACTCCAGTCCTAACCCCACTTAAACCATTTCTTCGTGTGTCTCTGCTGCAATTATGCAAGCAGTTACCTTATTTATAAAACTTAAAATTTAAGTAACTATGAATAAGTTGTGAGGTCTTTTATGTAAAGAGCATACTCTACATTTCTCTGAACTTGCCATAGGACTGATGACTCAGGATTCAATAAATGATAGCCAATTTGAGTGAAAACCAACCAAAATAAAGAGTGTGAATATTTATTTAAGACCACTATGTAGATTCTTTGTGTCTTTGAACACAATGTAAAAGGGTTCATTAATTTTATCAGTTTAGTGCAAGGCTGTGTCAGTGCTGTTAATTTCTTAGCATACACTCCTAGCAGGCAGGACTTTGTTGAACTTTTCTCTGAACAGCAGTGTGTGCAAAGGGACGCTTAATAAATGCCATTAGACAGTAATCGCTGGTGTTTAATATTTATTGAGCACCTATAGGGACCTTGAGACCTTGGTCCAGGATGAAAAGCTTTAAAAAAGCCTGTACCTAATTAATGAAAACATGGTCCCTGCTTCCAAGGAGCTTATCTGCTAAAGCACACAACACTGATGTGGGTGCACAAAGAAAATTAATTTTTTTTAGCTAAGTGCAGAAAACAACCACCTTTATGAAACTGCAGAATTTATCTTGTTCTCCCTTTAAATTGGTTTCTTTCTGAGGGCCTCAAGTTAAATGTCTGGCAAAAAAGTCAAGGTAGAGGATTCTGGAAACAGGCCAAGGGGATGAGGCAATGAAGAAAATGGGATGGTAATAGACGGTGTGCCAGTTGGCTATATGGCTAGGTGGATGGAGCAGTTGGGGAGAAATAGAATTTCTTTAGGTGCTCGTTATGTTTTCAAAGTTTTTTAGTGGTTATAATATACCATCATCATCATGATTCATTAGTATTTAAGTTCACTTTGCAAAGGAAACCAAATAGGGATGAATCAAATGTTGATTTTCTTTCATTTGGGCCAGCTAAAAAACACAGCAGTGACAGAGAGCAAGACTGGCATGGATCTAAAGCATATAACAGTGTGTTGCGAATGTGCTCTAATTGGGATGTTTGTCTCTCCAAACCTCATGTTGAAATATGATCCCTAATGTTGAAGGTGGGACATAGTGAGGGGTATTTGTGTCATGGGGGCAGATCCCTTCATGAATTCTTTGGTGTTGTCCCCAAGGTAATGAGTGAGTTCTCACTCTTATTGGTTCCCATAAAAGCTGGTTGTTACAAAGAGCCTGGCACTTCCCCTCTCTCCCTTGCTTTCTCTTTCCATGGGATCTCTGCACAAGCTCCTCCCGTTTGCTTTCCACCATGAGTGGCAGCAGCCTGAAGCCCTCACTAGAAGCAGATGCTGGCACCGTGCTTCTTGTACAGCCGCAGATTTGTGATCCAAATAAACATATTTTCTTTAAAAATTACCTAGTCTTAGGTATTCTTATATTCTTAGGTGTTCTTATATTCTTAGGTATTTTGTGTTGTCTTACAGCAACACAAAACAGACTAAGACAGCATTATTTCCTAATGCATTCATTTGTAGACTGCCAGAGATTAGCGAATGGGAATAAACTAGAAAGTAATTATGAATTACAGGTCTACTTTTATTTTTATCGTAAAAATTTAACATTTTTTATTCATTTTCATTTCATAACTTGTATATAAGACGGTCAATCAGCACAGGAAAGTGTTAGTTATATGTGAAAGTGACATCTGTTTGTGTAATTAAAATGTTTGTTTTATGCAAAAAAAATTATTGAAGAAAATGTGTCATTTCCAATGTATACAAAGTTATCTTCTGTTGAGCATTTTCTGTTTGATGTTTAACTATGTAATAATTTCCTTCCCGGTTTCCCAGTTTAGAATGATAGTGTATTAGGGACATTAGATTAATAGTCAAAATCCAAAGGAAGTGAAGTTTTGGAGAAAACCAAATAGATGTTAATAGCTAAAGTCGTAGAGAAGCTAAAAGCAGAGACAACAATGATGGTTCAAAGCAAAGGAAAATATCAAGTTAGAGCTGTGAAAACCAGCCAAGAAGTTGAAAACTCATCACTTATTCTTGACGCCAATAATTCTTAGATAGGGTCAGTCTTAGAATAAAACCATAAAAGGCATTGCAATGCAACTAATACATAGTTACACGTACACACACACACACACACACACACACACACACATATCATATCTCACACTGTCTCAGACTAAGTAAATTAAATAACATAATATCTGAATAAAGTTAAGGAAAGACTACAGGTGCAAGAAAATTAAACAAGATGACAAGATTGTTGTGTCACAAAAGATGAAAATCCTTTCACTATGTGCTTGGCTTCTTTGTCACTGCTCCTATTGTTAATGACTCTCTACTTCTAATCACATCATGTTGCAGTTAAATTTGACTCTATTTCAAGGCCTCTCTCAAAAGCCATCTAATAAGTTTCCTTATCTGGTTCATTCAAACAGATGTGATCTTTTCGTTCTCTGAACTCTCCTAACGTTTTTAGATGGTTCATTTGAAAGCTGTTATATTGTGTTGTGCATTGTTATTATTTTTGTATGTGCCTCATTCTTCTTAAGTAAAATAGATGCTACTTTTGGGTATGACTTATTCATCATTGCAGATCCTGAAAGGCTTAGCACAAGTACCCATGCCTAGTCAAGAAAGAATAAGTAAAATTTAGTTGTGCTGTTTGTAAGTGTGGAGAAAAAGGCCTGGCATTAAACATATACTTGGAAGGTCATGTGTACCTACATCCCCTCATAACTGTGCCTGTAGGTGCCCACTGTAGTTAAGACCCTTAACTATTACTAATAATTTAGTAGGATTATTACCAATAAACTAGTAGGATGTTTTGGATAAATTATGTACAAGGAGACCAAAATAAACAATTCTGTATACATTTTGAGACTTGAGACAATATTTTGCTACAGAAATTTGTAACTTTGCTCTGTGGGAAATACTGTGTTCACATAATGAAGGTGAACATGAAATTCCTTTTGAATCTCACGTGCATCCTAGAACTCTTGTTCAAATTCACCTTTTATCCTGTGATAAACCAACATTTAGATATGATTTGTTCAGTGTCATTTCAGGTGGTCTTGCTGACAGGACCTCCGTCATCTCAAAGTATTTATTAAGATTTTAAATAATCACTGTGAAGTATACGGAAATGAACCAGACAAAAATCTTATTCCTGCAAGCTTCCTAATGTACTAGGGGAGCTCAAGTCTACTTTAGAAAAGGGATAAGGACCATGAAAGTTGCAGGAGGTGCGCGGGAAGATGGTGGAGGAGGCATCTCCCTTGAGATCTGAAGGATAGGTAAAATTTTAATTAGAGGCCAAGGGAAAGAACAGTGCATTGAGGAAATTGCAACTGTCATAGGAAATGGACCATCACATTTGTCTCCAAGACAGAAAGACACCTAAAAGTGTCAAGAAGGATGACTGCTTTCCAAAAGTGTATCCAGTGTCTTTTCTCTATGGAAGGTAGATTGTTAGCCATTTCTTCACAGTCATTTCATTCTCCTGTCAAGTGGGGACACTTTAAGTGTTAACTAAACCCTCGACTTCAGAATAAGTGCAACTTGGAGGAAAAAATAAATCCAGTAAGGTGGATGATCTTTCTGTCTCTAATCTTTCCAGCTTTTTTAGCCTTGAGAAGTAAAGGTGCAGATATGGTTTTTTGGTCTGTGTCTTGGGGAAGGGATGGGGTTGTTGAGAGCAGTAAGCAGTAAAAAGTCATCCTGTGTTGCCCTAGGGGGTCCCTGCTCAGTACTTAGTAGCACATGGCTGGCACTTGAGATGGGGAAGTTGGGGAGTTAACCAGTGTGCACTAAAGCTTGTAAGAAAGTTTCCCTTGGGGAATTACACATTTTAGAGGAACAATGAAATTTCATCGACTGAGAAGGGCTAAACAAAAACATTTACCAAAGGTCCTGGGAAGTAGAAAAAGCACTAGGAGAACTGTGAGAGGAAATAATTCTATGAAGCCCCACATACTCTAGTTTGCCTGTGAGGATTTCTCTCTTCTGCACTGGTCTGCTCAAGCCCATGGCAAGCACCTGCATGCAGCACCTGGTCTAGAGGGCCTTACTCTCCCTGTCTGGTATCCCAGCTCTTGACATCTACTGTTGGGACTCTGGACTGGGACCTCTGTTTTCACAGCTACTCAAGGCTTCTAGCTGCCAGTGAGTCTTCCCTGATGAAATGGTCCCCCTCTCCTAGAGTCAGGCCCTCTCTGTATTCTAAGTTGAGAATTAGATAAAACTAGTGAACAATACCTAGGACCATAAATTAATTGAAGAGATCGAGATGGTACCCATAGGAACTACTCTCTTTTCCCACAAAACAAAGTCTTTTGAAGGTCATCTTTAACAGAGTGATGTTCATGCTGGGTAATGGCAATCATAACACTGACGATGGGATACTTTTCAAATTATATTTTGTAGGGACAGGGTCTTCCTATGTTGCTCAGGCTGGCCTCAAACTCCTGGGCTCAAGTAATCCTCCAGCTTCGACAACCCAAAGTGTTGAGATTACAGGTGTGAGCCACTGTGCCTGGCCAGACATTATTTTAAGTGCATTACATAGGTTAGATGATCCACCAGGAAGACACGATGTGTAAGCTAAAGCCTTCCAATGCTACCTATACGTAGCTCCTATGGCAAAGACTGGCTAGATGCTCAAAAACTATTCTCTCTTCCTGGACACATAAAAAGATTATATTTTCCAGTCTTCCTATGATTAGGGATGAAATTTCTGGTCAATGGAATGTGAGTGAAAGAGTTTCACATCACTGCCTGACTGGGCCATCACTTGTCACAGGCAATCCTCAACATTCTTCCCTCTTGGATGGTAGGACGCAGAGGATCTAGTGGAGGACTCCAAGGAGACCTTAATGCAGTCTTTCACTGCTGAGGTTCTGTGAGCAAGTTAAGGCCCATTTAAAATTATTTGTATGACTATTTCCTCAGTCCTTCCAAGGATGGCACATAGTTAGTGGATGCATATGAGTTACTTTAATTCCTTACTTTCATAGATCCCTTAGGTCATTAGATCTTAAGTTTTCTCTGGATTCTGAGAAAGTCTGCATTAGGGGATAATGGTCCCATGGGCAGAAAGAGCCTAGATCCCTGAGTCATCCTTTGGCTGAGAATTTTACACTTGGCTTTGCAGAAGGGAAAATGAACCATTTTTGTGTAGACTCACTAATATTTGGGAACTTATTTATTAACACCTCATAGATTAGCCTGCCCTGGATAATTCCTCTTTCACCAGCTCTTTCAGGAATAACTTCTCTCCTGTCTTCTTAAAGTGTAGCCACATAAAAATTTGTCTGTTGGGAGATAAAACATTTATATAACTTTCCTGTTATGTTCAATCATCACAGTACTACAGGTTTTTTCTTTTCTTTTTTTCTTTTTTTTTTTTTGTCCCGGCTCTTCTTCAGGAACATCATCATATCAGGAACAGAATGATTCAATCTGGCTTCAAGGAAAGGGTATCTACACAGAAAATAATAGGAAATTTGTTACCAGTGGTGGAAGATAGGCTGAAGAGACCAAGGGAAATACTTGAGAAAAAAACCTTGTGAAGAATGCATTCCTTGAAGAGAAGGGAAGGTTCTGATATGTGCACATTATTCTAAGAGTCCATGAATTTTTTCAACTGTCTAAATGGCTAAGGGGAAAATGATGAGATTCTTATGACTCTGACACATAGACTAAGTTAAAGCCTCTGTTTAAATGGAAGTGAATTATATGGTTTGAATTCATTGTGGATGGGGAGTGTTTCATGGATCCTTAGGCATCCTAAACCCTTTCAGTCACCTTAAATTAGCAGGTGAAAGACTGTCTTCCTAGTCATGGATCTACCAATTAAGTACCCAAGCCCAGTATATAAGTAACTAATTCTAACTGCTTCTTATAGTCTTCACTTCCTTATAATGGCTCCCATGCCACGTAAAACTCATATTGAATTTGTGTGCATTTCATATGTTAATCTGTGTTATGTCAGTTTACTTATTAGACTCAATGGATGGAGGATGGAGAAAGCAAGTAACACAGTGAAGATGGGTCAATATGCATCACCTCCAGAAGCTAATTCCCAGGGCTCTCTTTTCTAGGAGAGAAGTTAGGCTAAAGATCTCTAAAGTGTCTGGTAAGTGTTAAAGTCTGATAGTATGAAACAGGAAAGATATTGGCGATGATTATGCAGCCTCTCCCCTATGCTCTGCGTGAACTGAATAATGCAACATTTAGTGAAATCCTAGGGATTCTTTCATTGTCTGCTTTCACTAGGCTTGCAGGTGGGTGATTGCCGGGGTGTGGAAGTTGGAGCAGAACCCTGCTATACAAAGAGAAGATGCATTCTTGCCTCATTGCTTCGCGTGTTCCCAACTAAACTATATGTTACTTAAGCAGAACACAGTTTTATAGTCTTTTGTAAAACCTCCTCCCCATCCCTAACCAGTACTACTCAGTAAAGTTCTCAGCATTTAATAGATGCTGAAATTGATTTATTGATCTCCATATGTGGCAAACTGCATGCTGTCATTATGCATGACTCGTATTTATGAATTGTTAGGAAAATATGACTAATTGTATTTTTTAGGAATGACATGAAGCTTAGCACTCTTGATTTAAAGACATTTATACAAAACTTTATTATGAAGACAGTCTTTATTGTGTGAGCAATCATGCACTACTTAAAGCCTCCAAGTTATAATAATAACATTAAGTTTACAGCATAGATATTAAAATATTTGAATATTTTAATAAAGCAAAATTGTAAACACTTTTGAGTTTAACTCTTTCCTTCTTAATTTCCCCTACTTCACTTGAATAAGCCATTACTTTGGATGTTGTCCGTATAGGAGCAGCAAAACTTTAACTCAATCCTCTATCCATCGGGTCTGATAAATAAATCGACATAACACAGATTAACATACGAAATGCCCACAAATTCAATATGAGTTTTACATGGCATGGGAGCCCTTATGAGGAAATGACTACCTTGAGAGGTAGTTAGAATGAGTTACTTATATACTGCACTCAAGTACTTAATTGGTAGATCAACGATTAGGAAGGTAAAGATTCATTTAACAAGGTTTCTTTGTACAGAATTACTTTGGCCTCAACTTTCTCATCCTTGAGGATAAGAACGTTGCATCCTCACATGGTCGTTTTATCTTCTGTTTTTAAGAAATAGCCCAAAGGTCACGGTGATCTTTTTGCAACTGCTGTTTTATTTAAGTGCCTTTAACTTAAATAGTCAATATGCCAGAGTGGTGTATTTCCAACTCCTTCATCTATAACATTTTTTTCCTTAGGACTGACCTCTTGATAGGGAGCATATTGTCATTTCAGGCTTGTATAGTACCTACATGGTGTCATTTATACCTGGAAATTTAATACCAGTAGTATTTGTTGAAATAAATGGGAATTTTTAATCATAAACATCTATTGGATACCTACTATTTTTCAGGCAGTGTGCCAAGCACTTTAGGTCATGAGAAAAACAAGAGGAAAAGGAAAGTCATACTAAGATAAAAAAGCAATGAATTACCCCGATTTGTTCACTGTATATTGTATATATGGAAACATCAGCTGGGCGCGGTTGCTCGCGCCTGTAATTCCAGCACTTTGGGAGGCCGAAATGGGTGGATCACTTGAGGTCAGGATTGCAAGACCAGCCTGGCTAACATGGCAAAAACCCATCTCTACTAAAAATACAAAAAAAATTAGCCAGCTGCAGCAGCACACACCTGTAATCCCAAATACTCAGGAGGCTGAGGCACGAGAATCTCTCGAACCCAGGAGGCAGAGGTTGCAGTGAGCCAAGATGGCACCGCTGCACTCCAGCCTGGGTGACAGAGTGAGACCCTGTCTCAAAAAACATAAACAAAATCAAAAACCATCATTAAGTATCCCATAAAAATGTAGTTATGTTTCAATTTGAAAATTAATTTATTTTTAAAAAGATAAAAGAACAACTGGAGGAAAGAAGATTGTGATTTCTTAAAAGACATTTTGCAAAATTGGTTTTATACATTAACGCACTGGAACATTCAGCTCCTTTCAGAATGGCACAGACTAAATCCTGATTTCAGTTCTTAAGGGTTCCTCTATCTGTTAGAATTCTCAGTCAGGCTAGATGAGTGGTTAACTCGGGTAATTAGAAAACACAGGCCTGGGGTTGGTGGCACCAAGATTGACCTTGTTGTAGAGCAGCCAGTTCCACTGGTTTCATTGACACAAAATGTGCCCAGCCTAGTAATACTAGAACAGTGCTAATCAAAGTGTGGTTTAGAGACCCCTGCTGGACTGTGGGACACAAAGACAGTGAGAGTAAGCAATGAGAAAGCATTTAGAAACTTTCATAACAATTTATAGACTCATTTTATGCATGCTGAACTTAATAATAATTTTAAAATTAGAGTCGATATTTTGGATATCTTTTAATTTCATTTTTCTGTTAAATGACTTTTAGTGTATTTTACAAAAGTATTGGCTCACAATATATTATAAATAAAAACAAAATCAAAATAAATCTTTTGCCACAAATAATTTGAAAAGAATTGGTATGGAATATATTGTCTTGGATGCATGTCTTGGATACATGCACCAGCGCTAGACTGCATGTGTTGAAATGCCAACTTTAACTGCATGATGCTAGGCAAATTGCTTAACTTCTCTGTGCTTCACTTTCATCATTTTAGTGTGGGGTAACATTTGCATTACCTTCTTGGACTATTGTGAGAATGTGAAGCACTTAGAACAGTGCCTGGCACAAGGGCTCTTTGTATCTTTAGATAGAAGGGGTAAGGCAGCAGTATGGCAGCACAGCTGTGGTGACAATGTAGGGGGTTAGAATCTAAGAAACAGGTTCCAGTGGCCCACTGGATCCTGCAGCAATCCTCTCCAGAAATAACCATTTTGATATGCTGAAAGAATCTAACCCTTCAGAAAGCATAAAAGTTTTGTAATTTTATTATAGCATGTTTTATAGCATGACAATGAATGCCAAGAGACTGTTTACAAGCTAACTAGGCCTAAGGCACAGATACAAATAGCTATTTACATATTTCTAACCCTTTTCTGTCTAACGTGCCTTCTTCCTCCCGCTGATTGAGATCGATTAATTTCATATCATACCTATATCCACCTCCATTGGCAGATGTGTTCCATTCTTCCTTATACTTTTTTCCTTATACTAACAGATATGCCTCTATTCCTTTATCTTAACCTTGCTCTATAAAATAATTTATGGGAATGCAGCATGTATTTGATTCCTGTACCATCCCCCCAACTCCAGATTTTCCTTCTCTTGCTATTACTCAAGATAAATTACGTTCTTATTCTCTAATGTACCTCTTGAATAGCAAGAACATTCAATCCAGGAGAAAAACCAATGCAATTTAGAGAAAAAAGTCAAGGTGAGGCACTGGAAACTTCTTTCAATATTTGGTTATTTGTCCAGTTTCTATGTTTCTGGAATGACAGAATTAATTGTTTATGTGTTTGAGTGATATGTTTGGGTCTCAGCTCTACTTCTTAAAGCTCTGTGAGATTGGGCAAATCTATGCAATTTGAGCCTGAGTTTTCTTATTGCTAAAATGATGACAATTATCTTAATTTATATGACTATTGTGATAAGCAGTAATAGCCACCACTTAATGAGCGATGCTATATATTCTAATATTCTATGGAATGAGTAAATTATATCTAACATTTAACTTATACATAGATTGTAATCTAAACAATGACTTAGGAAGGTAGGCATGGTTATCTCCCCAGTTATAGATAAAGAAACTTGAGTTTAAAGACTGTTGGTAATTTTTTCTGGGTAACACAACTGGTAAAATTAGAGCTGGGGTTTGAATTGAGGTATTTGACTGAAAGCCCATATTTTTGCCTTTTTATCTTCAAAGGAGTTGATAGAAGTGAGTGTGCCTTCTAAACCAAGTTTTTGATATCAGACATTCTCATTATCTATTCCACTTCCAGAAAACTCCATAGCAGGTCAGTAGTGTGATCTTCAAAGCCCACCAGCAATCAGTCCCAATTAATTTCCCAAGCAAGAGGAGTCGACATTAAGCTGTTGTATTCCAAGGCAGCCAGAAAAATCTGCCGTTTTTAGTTTTTGCTACAGGCATCTTCACTGGTGAACCAGCTGCCAAAGCAGATCTCTTTTTGAGGCTTGCCTTTGCTCACACTCTATGGGCTCATTTGATAAAGAAGCTGACTCCAAGCCATGCCTAATCTTTTGCTCCATGGGCTCTGTTTGGGAATTGGCTCACAAGCTGCCCCTATAGAGGAGGAGGGAAAGTGACAAAACAGAGAGTTATGAACTGCGAAACCTTGCCCATCAGGCTCTTTCCTGGAATTAGCTAGAAAAGCAAAAATGGATGTTATTAGAGGGCACGTATCTGGCATTGCAGCGCTCACTGGGCTCTGCCATCGGTAAGACTCCTTAATGGCTGAGCTTGGAAGGTCTACACAACAGCTGTGCCCAGAGATAGCACACATTGAGCACGATTAGGGTAATGTTTCCTTCATTGCCTGAACAATGGAAGAGAAGAGCAAAGCAAATGTATCAGGCTTTCATCTCAGGCACAGGGAGACAGGGAATGCCAGACAACTACAGAATGGCAGTCCCTCCCACCCACATATAATTGAGTTGTTTAATCCATGAAAAGTAGTAACAGAAGTCCCTCCTACCCAGATATAATTGAGATTTTTAATCCTTGGAAAATAGGAAAGGGGAAAATATGTATCATCTCACCTTACAAGACAATTAAACTTTTGAATGATCTATGGAGTAATTATGAGAAAAGAGTGGAAGGTATTTATGGTATTGTGCTATCAAAGGAAACCTCCAAGAAAACTAGCAAGGTGTGGTGGTATGTGCCTGTAGTCCCAGATACTTGGGAGGCTGAGGCAGGAGAATCACTTGAACCCAGGAGGTGGAGGTTGCAATGAGCCGAGATTGTGCCACTGCACTCCAGCTTCAGCAATAGAGGGAGACTCCATCTCAAAAAAAAAAAAAAAAAAAAAAAATGGAAGCCTTATCTCTGCCCAGGTCTGCCACTTTTTTTCTGGGATGTAAGGAAAGTCATCCTGAATTGTGCCTCAGTTTTGCTATCTGTAAATTGGCGAGGCACTAATTCTTATAAACATTAGAGATATTTTATAAGAATCAAATATGAATAGAGATCTGATAGTGTTTTGAAATGTAGCTATATATGATTATATAAATAGTAGGTATTTAATGGTGAAGAATATTCAGTATCTGTTTGCATGCAATGGAAAATAAGGGAAAACTGTCAGAGAGCCCCTATGTTTATTGTGTCAGCTTAAAAATAAGCTCTTAAAAATCACACTTAACTAACCACTTCTCTTACATTTTTGTTTGTTTTGATTTTTACCTGCTCAGCTTCTCTTAAAAAGTACTAATTACAGACAATGCTTTACACAAATTCAGACACATTCTCTTCGTGTCTTTTAGAATTCAGCACTTTTCTCAAGAAAATGGTGATTGACAAAATTATCCTAAAGGTAGAGAAATCCTGGATTCCACTTCATGTTTGTCTCATCTGCCAGTGTGGGGAAGAATCAAGAAAAGAATTCAAGAGACAATTTTGACACACACACGTATCTCTATGGCAACATGAAACCTCCCATAGATATGCCTGGAGCCGAAGCAAGGATAAAGGGCTTATTCTACTTTTCTTCTCTATTCTTCATTCAGGCTCTGGACTATATATCTACTTGATCTTTCATGTAACCTAAACTTTGGTTTGGATTTCTCTTCTTGAATACCTTTGTCCTTTGCAAAGGCACCTGACTAAGGGGCATCATATAAATATTTTTATAATGAGCATGTTTTTCCAAAAGTAAATGACATTGAAGAGCCACATTTGCCTGGTTTTCTAAATTCTTATGTATTTGTTATAATATTGGTTTCTTTACCTTTACTACCTATGATGGTTAACTTTATGTGTCCATTTGACCGGGACACAGAGTGCCCAGATATTTGTTCAAACATTATTGTGGGTATGTCTGCAAGGGATTTTTCGGATGAGATTAACATGTAAATAGACAGAATGAATAAAGCAGATGGCCCTCCTAATGTGGGCGGGCCTCATCCAATTAGTTAAGGCCTGAACAGAACAAAAAGGCTGACCCTCCTCTGAGTAAGAGAATTCATCTTGCATTATGACTTTCAAACTGGGACATTAGCTTTTTTCTGCCTTTGGACTCAAACTGAAAAATCTTCTTTTCTTGGGTCTTGAGCCTGCCAGCCTTTGGACTAGAACTTTATCATCAATGATCCCGGTTCTCAGGCATTTGGACTCACACTGGCACTACACCATTGGCTGTCCAGCTTGCATACTCACCCTGCAAACCTTGGAATCTGCCAGCCTCTATGATTGCATGAACCAACTTCTTATAATAAACCTCTTGGTTCTGTTTCTCTGGAGGACTGTGACTAATGTAGTAATAATTTGTATTTTCAATTTTCCTATGAGAAAAGGTTGGGCATTCCTTAATAGTCTATCTTTCCCTACATTGATTTTTCAGGTAAATTTTAACACACCAAGACAGAAAGAAAGGTAAGAAAGCAAGCAAGCAAGAAAGAAACAAAGAAATTGCCATGTTTGAGTGTGGGTGTATACATAAGCAACTAATATATGGATAATTTTTCCAAGATAAAGGATCTTTATTATATTTAAACTCATCCTGCTTTTTAAATGTGTATCTATAAAGTATTCTTGCTTGTTTATTGTTTAGCAATTAGGCTAAAAAATAGTTTGCTAATATTTCCATCTAAAATATGTTATAAGATATGGCTTCTAACCTCCAGCTTCAGCTTTTCTTCTTTTTCAGGTTTGGATTGGGTTTGGGTCAACTCTGAGTCAAGAAGATATTAGGTTAGTCTTTTCAGATTGTGTTCATACCCATATATCAAGAACCTACTAAAATTGAGATGGCTTCTGTTGGCTGCCCTCTCAAACCAGTTGACCTTTTGAGATTCTTTTCCAGTTGTGGTTTTCTCTTTGCACTGTGTCTATACAGTTTATATTCAAAGTGGTATAGAAAATCATTTCTTAAAACCTCAAAGCCCTATACATACTTCAGTTTCTTTTATTTCTTCCTTAGACCAGATAACTATACGTTCCAAAGATTTTTGGAGTAATATGGTAGTATTGTGTTAGAAAGGACAACATGCTGGCAATCACCCCACTCTATAGGTACTGGATTTCTAACTTGGAGTTGTGTAACTTTGGGTAAATCACTGAACCTGTCTGATGAAGACAGCACTGCCTATATCACAGTACCTGGAGAACTAATGATATAGGACTCGGAAGATTAATTTTTAAGCTGCTAATTAATAAAGCACACATGAAGTTTTTCTTTATTTTCAAATTATATGGCATTTGATTTTTGATCCCATGCCTCTCAAATCTCATTCTTACAATAAATCAAAATAATCATCTCTTATATCCTTGGTATTGGAGATTGAGCATACATTCTGAAACCTCTAAGCATATCTAGCTTAGTTATTCTCCAATGTCTTATCTTATGTGGAAATGTATGATGTAATTTCTTTGGGATTTTTTATTAAAATATGACCCAGAAGTTTCTTGCCAGGGCTTCGCAAGGTCTCTGCATTTCATATAGGCAGTTGCCCTTCTTGTGGGATTGATTTGGACTTGTCATCTCAGGGCCTTTTCTGGTGATAAGCAGATCCCCAAGAGTGGTCTTATGTCTCCACAGGTTAGATAATGTATACACAGTTTTGAAGGGTAAGACATAAAAAGTAAAGTTGCAAGATTTAAATAATTTAAATTAGCAGCACTAAGCTTAGGAAGCAATTTAATAACAGATAAAAATTATAAAAATAGAAGAATTGTTTAGTAAAAAGAATGATGGAGAATCTGGAGATCTGGGTTCTAACTTGTCTCTACTGTGAAATAACAGTGAGATTTTGGGTACAACTTTTAGCTCAAGTTTAGAGTTTTTACTCATTGTTTTAAAAAGGTGTTTGTACTATAGATCTGTAAAAATATTTTTAGCTCTAACATCTCTTGGTCCTCTCTTCAGTACATGCTCTCTGTTTGTAGGAGACAGCAACAGTAACCCAGGGGGAAAAAAACCTTCCTCTTTGTCTCTCATATTCCATCTTCTAGCTAAGAAAATATGGGAACTGAATTGCCTCCAGCAGCGTGTTATAATAGATTCAATCATTCAAAACAAAAAACAATATAAGCTCGCAATGCTTATTCTATTGCCACCTTTTAAAGATGTTGGATTAGTTGTGGTTCAGGAGCTTGTGTATTTCAACATAAATCAGATCCTGTCAATAATAAAAATACAATTATGAAGATTGAATAATAGCATCCATTTATTAAGTACTTACTATAGTAAGCACTTTCCATACTCATCTCATGAAACTTCACAACAGTACTATAAAACAGGTACTGTCTCCACGTTATAGAGGGGGATCCTGACATTGAACAACATGGCCAAATCATATGACTAGTAAGCAGCAAATTGGGAGATAGATCATAGCTCTGTGTGGCCGACTTATGGATTTTCTTGTGATCTATTAGTCATCAAGTGACCTGCATATATCTTATTCTTGATCCAGTGTGCATCTTTAGGAGTGTCACTCAGATTTTCTTCTCTTTAGTTTTTCTACTTTCAAAATAATAACACTAAAATTCATGTACACCTCACATAGATTTATGGTAATGCATAACAAAACAACCAGACTTCCAACATAGATATTGCCAAGTTTTCTTTTCTCTTTTTCCTTCCTGCCTTCCTTCCTTCCTTCTCTCTCTTTCTTTCTTTCCTTCCTTCTTTCCTTCCTTCCTTCCTTCCTTCTTTTTTCTTTCTTTCTTCTTCCCTTCTTTCTTCCACAGGGTTTTGCCCTGTCTCCAAGGCTGGAGTGCAGTGGCACAATCTTGACTCACTGCAGCCTCAACCTGCGGGGCCTAAACAATCCTTCCACCTCAGCCTCCTGAGTAGCTGGGACTACAGGCACGTGCCACCACACCTGGCTAATGTTTTTGGTATAGCCAAGGTTTTTTTATTGTAATATTGTTCATCCTCAGCTTGATAGTGCAGGAATTTATAATCTTATTTTATAAGTTATTTTTAAATATCTTTAAAGGCAAAATGACAGAAAAGAAACTAAAGATTTTGACTATACTTAGGATAATCCTGTGTGTGCAAGGGATACTTAATAATTTTCCGTTCTTGATAATGATAAAAATAAACTGATGCAAGAAGGAAGACACATTATCAATTCAAACATGGGGAGGGGTTTTATGACTTACTGTACTTGCTCATGGCTTTACTGTTTCATCTTATAGGTAAGGCATTTCCTTAAGAGATACACAGGTTCTAAATAAATATTAAAAAGAACCACTCTGGAAGAACATATTTCAAAAAAAAGAAGAAATTAAAAACACACTATTCAACATTTCCTTTAATAATTCAAATCCTCTTTGTCAGACCTCTGTGCCCTGTGTCTGGAATGTTCTCTCTTTTTCTACTAACAGACTCCCACTTGCCTTTAAATACTCTCTTGAAATCCTTCTTGACAATAAAATTGTTTTAGCTTCATTGGAAAGAAATAGACAATTTCTTGATCAATTTACTCAGAATGTATCAATGTCATTTTTATTTTTAAAAAATGTGCCCTAAGATTTCTTTTAGAGTATAGGACAAAGCATGATTTGATTTTAACCTATACGCTGGCTAGAGATAAATTATGTGTATCATTTCATCTTTTATATGTAAATTACATTCTCAAGCCACAGCAATGAGAAGGAGTCCTTCAGGAGGGTGAGTGTGGGTCAACACAGCCTTAATCTATAGCTCCAGTTCCCGCTGGCTTAACTGCTTGAACCAGCCTATCCAATCCTTCATTTTCTTTAGCGCAGTTGTTCTCAGCTCTAGCTTCACATTAGAATCCAAGAGGATTCTAATCACCTATGCCAAGAATTCATGCCAGGCCGATTGAATTTGGGTTCTTCAGGGTAGGGATGGTTTTAAGATGCTCTCTAGGTGATAATCAGTGTAGTCAGGGTTGAGAACCTCTCCTTTCCAGCAAGAGAGTTAAGTTGCTGTGGTCAGTTACCTTCTCTTCTGTAGCCTTCTGTGCTCAGTGGTTTCCATTCTGCTAAACTCTATAATTTTACTCCTGCTACCTGCTGTCGGGTCTGTTACTGTCAGCTGAACCCAAAGCTGACTTTGAAGTTTGTTGGTGTTATTCCATGGGGTATGTCCCATGCTGTTCTATGTCCCATGTCTCACTTCAACAATCATCATGCTGTAATGGAGAAGGGTTTTAGCCTCTCAGTATTAGTATTATTGATTAAGCCCCAAACAGTGACTAGTTGTTGTGCTTCCTTTTTAAAAAATCACTCATGGTATTACCACTCTGTTATTTAGCACTGCTGTTTTTCAGTCTATTTAGACAGCAGTTGCGTCTGTCTTCTCTTAAGGAGCAGGTCACAAAATGTTCTGATTAGTACCATACAATATTTCTCTCAAACCACTCCCTGTACTGATATTCAATGAATGTCTTTATAACAAGATGCACACCAACTTTGTTTTCATTTTAAATGAAATATATCAGTTGAGGATATACTTCCCTAGTGTTTAGAGGACTATTACAAACTATGTCCCTTCTTTTTCCATTCCAGTTCTGTCATTGTTCATTTACTACAATATACCTTAACACTACTTTTCCCATTATATTTATTTGGTTCTCATGGAATGGAAACTTCCAGCAATTCACCCTGACAATATCCAATTCCAGCAGAATAACCCCTGTCCCCTTACTCAGGGATCCTGTATATGTGTATGTGTGTGTGTGTGTGTGTGTGTGTGTGTGTGTGTGTATAAATATATATACATATATTTATAAGTGTAATATTTATATGTGTATATACATATATATTTATACACACAAGCACACACGCAAATATGCATATATTAATATAAATATGTTCAGTTTACATATTCAAAAGAATCAAGGCCTTATAAGGCAGTAGCTAGAACTTCGTAAAACAAAAACTCATTAAATGTTTGATGAATGAACAAAGTCAATGAACACTGCCCAATATAAGGCAGTCTGCAATGAAAGCCTCAAAACTTATTCATTATGATGCTCATAGTAGTGGTGTTGGGCTTTCTGAAGAATAGGAACAGAAGTTCACGTCCCCTTTGCTTTCTTTCCAAGTTTACCACATACTACAACTCTATTGTGTAAGTCAGGAAGATGCTGGTCCAGAACCTCGCAGGGATAAGCTGTCCCTGATGGCCAAATCAGATGGGACAGGATCACATGCTTGCTCTGAACCCCTGCCTCTTGCGCAAGCTGGTTACAAGCATTGCTGCTGCTGTGACATGTAAGCAACAAATTAGGCATCAATGGTGTGGCTCAGTGAACAGAAGCAGATTCTCACCCTCCAATGTGTAAATCCATTTAGCTGTAATTTCTGGCTGCCTCAGCTAGAGTTAAGTCCCTGACAAGTTAAAAGGATGCCTCACAGGTAAGCCTGTTTCTCCTTGGGGAGATGATAAAATGGGGGATGGTGTGAGAGATAAGAACTGGAGGAGGGGAAATAGAGTCCTTTGGAATTTCATTTACAAGCTGTTTACTTAAAAAAAGTAACATCTGAACCTGCCGCATTGAGTGGCATTATCTTCTGCTTCTGTTCAGCAGCTGGTCATTCTCCCTCCCCTTTGCCCAGCAGCCCACAGCTTCATTGCTCTCTGACTTAACAGGAAATAACTATCTTCCTTCCCAAAGACCTGTCAAAAATTGGTAATGCAAGGGAGCAGTCAGGCTAGCCTGCTGGCCACTCATTTCTTATGAATCATCTGGCAATTTTTTAGTTTGACAGTTGCACCTCATATATTTTAATATTGGTTTTGAAAGAAGAAAGCGGGGAACTTCCATTTCTTTACAGCTCCCTGTAATTTCAACTTGCTCTTTACTTATGTATGAAGTCGACTTGGGTGGAAAGGTTAGAAGCAGATGAATTTCTAGTTTCAGAGCCTAGGAAAGGCCAATAAAATGTGCAATAATCTTAATGCTAAGGTTTCAAGGAGCTGGAAGTATGTTTTATATTCATGGATGACACTCCTTGAAAATGATGACAGGGACCTCATATTTTTAAAGGCTTTTTTTCTTTGATCTTTCTTACATCCAAACACCCATTTAAATTTTTTCAGACAACCGTAGAAAACAAAACAAAGCAAAACCAAAATAAAAACAAGATTTCATTATAATTGAAAAGGTTTCCTAATGCATTCAGGTCCAATGAGCAAAAAAAAAAAAAAAAATGGCTTTGTTTTATTTTAATCTTTTTTGGGCAAATCGAAAAACAGCTGACTACTTCTCTAACACCAAATATGTACTCGTCTTTCTACCTATAAACTCTGCTTTTCTTAATTTTTATTCATGAATTGGTTTGCTTTATATTGACTGTATGCACAATTAAAAGATTTGGTTAGAAACTCCAGAAGTCACAATAGGATTTAATATTTCTGTTGCTATAGGTGTAAACAAAACATTATATGACAATACTTATTTAAATTCTTAAGTTTATGGTGATGAAATGAAGCTGCAATTACCCCGACTTTTCTTCCCATGGTCCAAGGATTAAATAGAGAGAGAGAATCAGGGGCTGATGACTTATGCCTGTAATCTCGGCATTTGGGAGGCTGAGACGGGAGGATGACTTGAGCACAGGAGTTGGAGACCGGCCTGGGCAACATAGGTAGACCTTGTCTCTACTACTATTACTATTAATAACAATAATAAAATTAACAGGCATCATGCCATACTCCTGTAGTCCCAGCTAATCGGGAGGCTGAGGTGAGAGGATTACTTGAGCCCAGGAGTTTGAGGCTGCAGTGAGCTGTGATCACAACACTGCATTCCAGCCTGAGTGACAGACGGAGACCCTTTCTCAAAAAAAAAAAAAGAAAAAAAGTGACTCAGGAAAGCAGGGAAGGAAAGGAAAATAATGGAGAAGAGATAAGATGTAAGATGTCTTTATCAAACATGAGTTTGTGATGAGTTCAGAAATTTGAGCCACTGTGCATTTTATCATATGTCTACCATTAAACGTCTGTTCCATCCTGTTCTAGAAGTTTATGTTCTATTCAGTACCAACAATTGTACTTATCACTCACTGCACTACAAAGCCTCAAAATAATAGCATACTTTTATGGAGATCTGTACCTTTCAAAGTACTGTCATTTTCATTATGTCATTTTACCTTAACAAAACCCTTGAATCATAAAATTCTGTAGTTAGAAGAGCTATCCTATACCATTACCTCTAAAATAGTCCCCCAAATTATGATATAGTTTCTATTTTTGGACAGTTTACCAGTACATTACACAAACAATTCAATTTTCAAAAACTTGTTTTCCTTGTAATGAAAAAGTAACACTTGTTCATTTTTGAAATTACAGAATAAATAATAAAATTTAAATCACTTTTAAACTCACCACCAATAATTAATTGCTATCAATATTTTGATATATTCCTATGCTGCCTTTCCTTTTTACATATTTAAGTAATTTGTTGGGAATGAATTATTACTGCAACAGCCGGCACACATATATCTGTATTTGTTGGTCCTTAAGGTAGGAGTTGATTCCTGGTTTGGCCTGGTTATCAAAGGGCACCCAGACACCAAGACAAAGGGGTGAGGACCAAGAATGAGAACAAAATGAGAACACTTGGCAGAGGAGGGCATGGAGGAGTTGGAGGAGTGGAAGCCAAGGAAAGTGATGGAAATTGAAGAGCATAGCAATGTAAGTCCTCCGTATAACTCTCCTTATCTTCAGTAACTCCAATGAAAACTTACACATTGCTTTGTGTGAGTGGGCTTATTTTTATGGAAACAGGTAAAAGGATGGAGCATTTTTACCTGGGGTGATAAAACCCTAAAACATCACCTGTAAATGTAGGTGCTCAGGAGTGCTTGAGCCCTTGGGAATGAGCAGAAACTCTGGGGATGGTTTTGTATAATAGTTCCACAAATTCTGACTGCAGGGTGGAAATCAAGCTTTAACTAGGTCTCTGAGAGCCATTGTACTCCCTGATGACTTCTCAGTTGTATGGGCAAATATAAAATGTCTTTATATAACATTGTCCAGATAATCTAACATTTTCCTTTTTGTTTTACAGTTTTGCACAATATTATTTATCTTATAACATATGATATGCTTTATAATATGGTTTATAACATGTATATTAAGGCATATATTATTTATGGGTATATATGTATATATTACTGACATGGGGTCAAATCCCCATTACTACCATTTTACAAATACCACGAACATCCATATATATAAGACTTACATGACGCGTCAAGTTATTTCTTAGTTAATCTCTCCAGATGTGAAATGTTTTGTTTTTAGGTTATGCATTCATTTTATATTTTTGACATACATTTCCAAGTTTCAAAAAAATCTGTTTCACAAATATACAATGCCATCAACAATGTGTAAGTACTCAGTACCCCTTCTACTAAATTTTGTCCATCTATCTAGCTGTTGAAACACTTCTGAATTTTCATTTTGTTGTCAACTGTGTTAGCATTCCTGCTGGGTTTGGTGAATCAAAATACTCATGTCACCTGTCTCATTCAAGACATCAATCACAAAAAAAAGTTAAGGACATAAAGCATGGAAAGAGCCTTTGGAAAAACCATATAAAAGTATAGCCAGGAAAACATTCATTGAATATTGCTTTTTGAAAACGATTCGTCATTCACTGCTTTATCTATATTTGTAGTTCATGTTTACAATCATCATAATCTATAATGATTATTGATTACCATTTGTAGTATCATAATGTGATTTTACTTATTCACTTGTATATTTAACCCCTTCCTGACACTAGCACCACCAAGCAGTGAAATAATACTGATTTGTACAACATTCTGAGGAGAAATGATTTATCCCATTAACAGCAACAGAACAGATGCCATGGAAATTGCTTCAGAGAGGAGGTGACTTATAATGTTAGCTTTCACAAACCAAAAGGTGCTCCCTGTGTAGAAACAGAGCTAAAGGGAATTCCAGGAGTAGAGAACATTATTTTTAAAAAGCACAGGAATATGAAATAGTATGGTGATGTGTAGGAAACACATGAGAAATGATTAGGTATAACTAAAGCGTAGTATTGGGGCTACAGAGGAAGGACCTGGAAAAGGAAAAACAATACAATATCCTTGGTATCCTCAAAATAGAAGTTGACTTACTTTTTGCTAGACTTACCGGGCTACTCAAGTTGACTTTAATTCAGACTGCATCAGGCTCAAAAGCAAGAACTTCAATCCTATCTTCCAATATGTAACCAACTAAATAGGAATGAGGAATAGTGAAAAGAAAATTCAGGTCTCCATGTCTACAGGGCTTCATATCTAGGTTTTACTGTCATCACTTTATTGGTTTAGTCATTTGCTTTCTTTCTCTTTCTTTTCTTTTTTTTTCTCTCTTTCTTTATCTTTTATTTTATTTTATTTTTATTTTTTTGAGACAGGGTCTCGCTCTGTTGCCCAGGCTGGAGCACGGTGACACCATCTTGGCTCACTGAAACCTCTGCCTCCTGGTTCAAGCAATTCTCCTGCCTCAGCCTCTTGAGTAGCTGGGATTACAGCTGCCCACCACCACACCTGGCTAATTTTTGTATTTTTAGTAGAATGAGTTTCAACATGTTGGTCGGGCTGGTCTTGAACTCCTGATCTCAGGTGATCCACCCTCCTCGGCCTCTAAAATTGCTAGGATTACAGGTATGAGCCACTGAGCCTGGCCTCTTTCCTTCCCTTCCTTCCTTCCTTCCTTCCTTCCTTCCTTCCTTCCTTCCTTCCTTCCTTCCCCTCTCACTCTCTCTCTCTCTCTCCCCCTCCCTCCCTCTCTCTCTTTCTATCTTTCCAACATTATTCAGACTTTTCCAGGTAATGGGATGAAATGAAGAAATCAGAATTACTTCCCCTATTTCAGCTTCCCACTTGTTTGGGATGTCTTGGACTTCATTCTCTATAGCTTTCTTCCTCTCCTAAAAATGAGTTTCTGTGTTTTCCTCCAAACTGCCTGGACTTGCAAATACGGTACATTCTTGGAAGTAATATTTGGGGTATGCCAAATTAAGGGTACTTGCCTGTCTCATAAAGAAGTTCCAGTAATTCAAATCAGCAGTCCAAGGGCAGGCAGAGTCATCTGATCCTACCTCTGTAGGTGTCGTTAGAAGAGGTGAGGCTGAGGAGTAGGGGATGAAAATCAAGATTGACTCAAAGAGGGGGATAGATAGCCTCAAGAGTATAGAGGTAGTCTTAAGGATGAGCATCAGAATTTCGGGGAGATTTGGGGAAGTTCAGACAGGGCCCCATTCAGCATCTGAGACCATGGGGCTCAGATCCAGATATGGGGCACTGGAAACTGACAAGAATGAGGTGAAAAGGAATGAGCAGGAAGTTCAGTTATCTAGCCAACTGATCTACAATGTACTGCAAGGTTCTAGGCTCAGGAGGGAACTGAATTTGCCACTGAAACCAGAGAAAAAATTAGATGGATTGAGGTCACAATGAAATCTGGGGACTGAACACAGCAGTTTGGTTCTCATGTGGGTGCCCTGAGATAGAGGTTTAAAGCCTTAGACTCACCCACTGATGAGAAAGATTTCCCTGATAGCTGTACAGGCTTACACATCATTTGTTTGGGAGACTGTGTAGAACCAAGTTCATCACAGGGTAAGTAGGGATAGCTGAGGGCTGACGTCTGTCACACCTGGGGCAAGTACAGGTTGGATTCCTTGATGAAGCTCTGCTCTCTACTGCTGTGAATTCTTTTGTGACAGTATCTGAGGTGAAACATTGCCAGATATTGTGCCAAGAGGCCTTTCCATGGGTCATAAAAATGCTATAAAAAGAGGAAAATTGCTGCCACAAAACAAAGACTTATAACAAAATAGGGAACCTCCTAAATTCAGAAGCTAAGAAAAACTGAGAAATGAAAACCGTTCTGCATATTCCAGGGGGTGGGTACAGCACCCCCATAGCCATTTGTATAGGCAAGTGGCATTTGCATTTATAATCTACGTTAGAAAACATCTGGGCATTTTGCTGTTGAGTAAATGATCACCTGGCTTTCTCTTGAATTCATCCCCCACTTGAGTCCCAATTTCCTCTGTTCTCTTTTTTGAAAGGGCCTATGCTGGCCTGGGCAACATAATAAGACCCCATCTCTACAAAAGAAATTTTTAAAAAGTTAGCCAAGCTGGTGGAGTGTGCCTCCATTTGTAGCTACTAGGGGGGCCACGGCAGGAGACTCGCTCAAGAGCAAGAGTTTGAGACCAGCTTAGGCAACACAGTGAGACCTGTGCCTTCAAAAAATTTTGAAAAGGTAGCTGAGCAGGTTGGCATGCACTTGTAGTCCCAGCTACCTGGGAGGATGAGGTGAGAGGATCACTAGGACCCGGGAGTTTGAGGTTGCAGTGTGCTATGATAGCACCACTGCACTCTAGAACCCAGGAGTTTGAGGTTGCAGTGTGCTATGATAGCACCACTGCACTCCAAATCTGGGTGTCAGAGCAAGACCCCAACTCCTAAAAAAAAAAAAAAAAAAAGAGGAAGAAGAAAGTATCCACAAAAACTCATTTCCTAGGAGAGGGTGGTTGGTGGTTGTATCACTTTGACGTCTGGGAATAACGGGGCCATGTTAAAAGCATAGTTCATAATAAGGTTATCAAATGGCAATCTATAAAAACTCATTTGAAATATTCCTTACTGATAAATCTGAGGACAAAGCTTTCTTCCTAACAACTGCACCTTTGCTTTCATTCCCAATATTTGTTTTCCCAATATAATGTCTGGATATTCATTAACACTGGTAATTCGTGGTAAAGTGTTTGAGGGAATACATTTTCCATATGCCTTGTATGCAGATGTGGCTGTATTGAGATACAGTAAGTACTATTCATGCTTCTGTTATAAAATTCTGAACATGCTTAAGCAATAGTCATGAATGCATTAAATAACACCATCCCAAGCACTAGAATCCTCTGTCTGCCAGCTGGGTGAGCTTCTACTATATGTCATTTTGATGTAATGCACTCCCATTTCTGCTGTTATTAGATGCAAAGTATTTGAAAAGATGCTAGATTGAATTGAAATCTGATTACGTCTGGGTTTGGGTTTTTGAGATATTGCCTGTTTTCCTAAGATACAGTGTTCTGTTTTCTTTTTAATCTCACAAATATGTACATACATCCTGACCCTTTCATTTCTCTCTTCTCTTCTCTACATTCATAGGTCATATGGGATTCCTGATTCTTATTTTAAAATGTAATCAAGACATAGGCATGATAAAACAGTATTTTGTAGGTTCCAGCAGAGAGAAAGTAAAATAATGGAAGGAAGAAAAAGGAAAAAAAGGAAAAGAAAAGTTTTTAAAAAAATGTTTAGCCTTTGATGTAATCATAGGTTAATGACCTGCTGCACATTAAATAAAAATCTATAGTATACTCATTTTGCTTCTTCAATTTCTACACCTCTGGGTCATTTAAATACACCTCCATAATCACCGACTACTTCTTATAATATTTGCCTTATTCAAGCATCTTCCTTGGGGGAAACTCAAATCCGCAGGAGCACATTTAATTAGTTCTCACAGTTGTCTTACACATTAGAAGACAAAGAAAATGCTGTGGTTCAGTATGGGTCACATGGGTCTGTGTGAACTGAAGCTGTAGAACATTTTTATGGTTATTTTCTTGAACCTTCACTTTGAAAAGTCATATCTATTCATGAGTACAGTTTCACAATCAAAAAGTGAGCATGCGTCAGGATAATGTTTTCTATCACAACCTTCAAAATGTTCAAATTATATCAATTCATTTATTGGAAGTCTCAATTTCTCCACTGAGCCTTCAAGGATGAAATAGAAAAGTTATATCTTAGAGCGGGGGTCCCTAACCCCAGCTGCCAACTGGTACTGGTCTGTGGCTTGTTAGGAACCAGGCCACACAGCAGGGGGTAAGCTGTGAGTGAGCAAGCATTACTGCTTGAGCTCTGCCTCCTTACAGATCAGCGGAGGCATTAAATTCTCAAAGAAGCACAAACCCTATTTTAAACTGTGCATGAAAGGGATCCAGGTTGCATGCTCCTTATGAGATTCTAATGCCTGATGATCTGAGGAGGAACAGCTTCATCCCCAAACCACCACCCACCCCCCGCCCCTTCTGTAGAAAAATTGTCTTCCATGAAACTGGTCCCTGGTGCCAAAAATGCTGGGGACTGCTGCCTTAGAGAGAAAAGAAATGGTGTCCTCTCTGCAGAGGATTGCAGTGTAAAGGGAACAATGCTATTAGATGTGTTTCATACTAGGAGACTGCAAAGCTATTCTAACTAGCACAGAGACAGAGCCTAACAAGAAGCATCACCTTGGCTAATTGGACACAGAGGAGAGCTGGTCTCAGAACTTCTGTCTTGCCAAGCTCTAGAGTTAATTGAACACATTGAACTCATATTTACAGAGAACATATGTATAAACAAGAATGCCAAAGAATTTTTTATAATAGGAATAGTACTTCCTAGAACCTGTAGTATTCACAGTTTCCAGCCAATACTTTCCTGATGTCATCTCTATGGGAAATCAAATAAATAATTAGAAATTTGATTAGTGAGCCAAAATGCAGAGCAAAGGAAGTGAACACATGTTCACTTCCTGAGTGTCCCAAACCACACAGGTTACACATTTACAGACAGACTCTTGGTTTTTGCCCATACAGCATCAGTCTCTCCCATGAACCTTGAAATTCATTGCATTACATCTCAGGAGGTAACTTTCTTTTTCTATACTACCCTCCTTCCCTCCCTCTGTCCCTCTCTTCCTCTGTCCCTCCCTCCCTCTGTTCCCTCCCTCCTTCCTCCTTTCCTTCCTTCCTTCCTTCCTTCCTTCCTTCCTTCCTTCCTTCCTTCCTTCCTTCTTCCATCCTATAAAGGACCACCAGAATGGCTAAATAATAGAAAGGAGCACTTTATTGGTGATATTAACTTACAAACCAGGAAGAGATAATCTCTGGGCATGTGTTGAAGGTGCTTTCTCTTTGAAGAGGGGAGGACAGATTGGGTTTTATGCCTCACAGAGCCAGCAGGTTTACATATTCAGCAGGTTTTAGGGGAAAGCTATCCATATTTATGACAGGAGCCAAGTGCATGCAGATTGGGTAAACATGTATGTGACATACATCTAATGTTCACTTCAGGGTGGGGTTTTAGAATTAAAATGAGCTAGGTTTTGGATCTTTATGGCAAAAGGTGAACTATAGGACACAAAGACAGTTTGTGCACAGCCTCTATAAACTGACTGAAACCTGCTTAAAGTCTGTAATTGCGTGTCTGAAAAAAATGTTTGTAAGTCTGGTCCTCCGTCCAATCAGAGTAGTAGTGGTCTGCGTTGAAACTCAGAGTAGATAGTGCCTATTTTCGGGAGTTTGCCTGTAGGAATTTAGAAATTTGCCATGCCACCTAGCCCCTGATCCCTTGACCCATAGGTAACTTGGTTCCTTAATATTAAGGTAAGGTCCATCTTAGTTGATAAAAGAGTATCTATTTTGGTCTCTCAGGCCTGCCTGCCTTCCTCTCTTCCTCCCTCCTTCTTCTCTCTCTCTTTCTTTCCCCCCTCCCTTCCTCCTTCCCTCCCACTCTTTCCTCCTTCACTTCCCCCTCTTCCCTTCCTCCCTTCCTTCCTTTCTCCCTCCCTCCCTCCCTTCCTTCCTTCCTTCCTTCCTTCTTTCCTTCCTTCCTTTCTTCCTTCCTGGTATTTGGAGGACCTCTGTCTACTGCACCATATCCTGCCTACAATGTCTACTTGTAATTGTGTTCCCCTTTCTTCCTCACACAACCAGTTATATTGCAATGTCATCAAGCCTTGTTTCTTTATAAAACGTGACTTTCAGTACTTCTCACCTTCCTTTGGTGTCTCAATACCTCCTGCTGAAAGTTTTAATAATATCCTATAGTTATTTTTTTGAACTCAATCTCTTTTCTGAGCCTCTTTGTTTTTTCAAATAAGTCTGCATATTGACACCTAATCAATCTCCCTAAAACAGTCAAATGCACCTGCTACTGATCTCTTTCAATTTTTGATAATTTTCCATTTTCTGAAGTACAGATTGCTCAACTTGGGCTCCAACATCTATACCTGACCATGATTGTTAATACTGAGTGTGAACTTGATTGGATTGAAGGATGCAAAGTATTGTTCCTGGTTGTGTCTGCAAGGGTCTTGCCAAAGGAGATTAACATTTGAGTCAGTGGACTGGGAAAGGCAGACTCACCCTTAATCTGGGTGGGCACAATCTAGTCAGCTGCCAGCGAGGCCAGAATAAAAAACAGGCAGAAGAACATGAAAAGATTAGACCGGCTTAGCCTCCCAGCCTACATCATTCTCCTGTGCTGGATGCTTCCTGTCCTCGAACATCAGACTCCAAGTTCTTCAGCTTTGGGACAGAGGCTGGCTTCCTTGCTCCTCAGTTTGCAGACGGCCTATTGTGGGACCTTGTGATTGTGTGAGTTAATACCCTTAATAAACTCTCCTTCATATATACATCTATCCTATTCTATCCCTCTAGAGAACCCTAATACACTGAACTACCTATCAAAAATCATCTGTCATAGTTCTTCAATAAAAATAAATCTCAGTCTTCTCAGTCCTCCCTCTTCCTACCATTCTGATTTTCACTTTACCCTTTTCTTGAGAATATGTCTCGCTTTGTGCTGCTTCTCCTTTTGAATCTCCTTTTGAACTATCTGCCTAGCCCTGTCCACTATCTAAAGTCTAGATTCAGTCTTGCCTTTGGTTATCCCACTTGTTTGACTTCTTAGGTCATGTTCTGGGAACTCATGCTTGTTCTAAATTTGCATTTATAAATGTTTGTTCCCTAAGCTAGAATGCAATTTCTAAGTGATTTACAATCTAGTTAATTTATGCCAAGCACATATAGCCACAGCAACAAATATAATTTACTAATAACTCATTAGGAATATTGTTTTCAAATATTTTCCCATTTGCCGTAGCCAGTGCTAGCTGTACCATGTGGTGAAATCTCAAGGAAGAAGAAGTGACTTAGTCATCAGCCATGTCATATATGTTTAATAGTTTATGAGGTGATTTGTGGTGACAAGCATAATGAGAAGGACCTCTCTGTAACAAACACAAAGTGATTTTGAAAATAAAGGTGACGATAATTTATTTTCTTCACTATTTTCTGACAATGAATTAAATAAAAGGTCACCTAACATATCTGAAACTATACCTGCATGAAGATGTAGCCTGTATTGACTCCTCCTTCTTGAACTAGTGTTTGTTTTTCTATTATGTCTCCTGAGAGTGCTTCTCCAGTTTGCCTGCTATGACCTGCCAAAGCCACTGCTCAATTGGGCACAGACCTAGTGCATTAGAATTTTCTCCCCATCCTCCTCTCCAGCTACAGTCAGAGGAATGGCTACTAGACAAGAAGAGGACTCATTACTTTCAAATTTCAATAAACTGGAAACATGAGCATATCTCATCCTCCCCAAATTTGGAGGTTTCTTGATGAGTGCACAACATAGTAACTTGACTTAATTAGTGGCAGTTTGGTGCAGCAAAAACGTGTATGGGTTTTGAAAACACTCAGAAGAGCTCCAAATCTCAGGTCTATCACAAACTGTGAGACTTTGAACAAGTTATTTAGTTATTAAGAGTGTGTTTGTTTCTATAGTTAATGGAGAAGCAACAGAGCTGATTTACTAATGTTGTTATAGAGCAGGCATACTGTAGGGGTTAATGTTGCTGCTCTGAAAACAAATAGCCCTGTATGAATCATGGCTCTATTACTAATTAGACTTCTTCCTAATCATAACATGGGAAGAATAATAGTACTTATCTCATAGGGTTGTTGTGAGGTTCGAATGAGGTCATGGATGTAAAATACTTGGAATAGTACCTGCCAGATGGTAAGTGGGTGAGTGCTAAATAACGGTCAGATCGTATTTTTATGGAGAGGACTAAGTGAATTAGTCTACCACAGTGTCTGGAAAGCTCTAATGCTCTGTAAATATAACCCTCCCCACCTCTCACTGCCATACACACACTCTTTCCTCCCACTCCTCCTATTCTGAGAGTATGGAAATGTATGAAGTCAGGGTTCCATTTCCTATAATGAACTGCCAGGCTTTCTGTCTCTCATCCCTTCTGTTCTCAAATTTTGGGTCTCCCGACTCCTAGGAGCTGAGCTTGCATGCCATAGTGAATCCAGGTTCTGTGAGGCCTGAAATCTATGCAATGTGGGGAACCCTATTTGAGAAAAAGAGCATAAAATTGCTAATAAAAAGTTGAGTGCCAAAATAAATATTTATAAAGAGAAAGCTATTGCAATAAATTATATACTTAAAATGTGGTAAAAAGAACATCAGAAATTTCAGAAAAAAATGCATAATTTTTATTAATTTACTGACACTTCTAAACTACTTTTATCCTATGTGATTTTTCTACACTCTCTAGAAGCCCCTTTTTAGAATTATTTTTAAATATAATATTCTCTAGAGAAGAAGATAATTGAACTATGACAAAATAAAGTTGTTTTAATTATTAATTGTTTTAAAAAGTTTATTTCAGCTTTACAACTCATTGATAAATTCATATAAAATTTTAGAAACTTGTCAACTTTGGAGGCTTTGTAAAGTTTTATTTCATATATAAGCAAAGTTTGGAGAATTTCCTCAAAGACTGGCTTCTGTGTTCATGCATTTTATATCTTGTTTCCCCTCCATTGCCCATGTAATTTTGTACTAGAAGCACTGGTACCTTCACACCTGGAGAGCCTGTGGCCCTACTCTTCTATACTATTGCTCCTATTAAGGTGTTCCACACCTGCAAGATAGTATCACACTTCATACCTGGACACTTGTAGCCCTACTCCTCTATCCCATTGCTTCAGGTCACTAGACACGTGAGTGCTAGGGGTATTCCACCCCTACCAAGATATTCCATACCTGCCAGATAGTCCCACACTGAAATCATGGTCAATCATCTATTAAGATGTGAAAGTGACCACAAACCACATATATATTCCACAAAACCCAAACTAAATATATTCCCAAGTTGAATTCCTCTTAGATTGATCTCCCAAATCCTTGTAGCCATTCTTATACCACCTGACACAAAGAGAAGTGTGATGGATATGAAGATGGAGGAGAAATATATAGTGGTTGTTACCAATTGCTTGTAAAATATCATACGTTTCTGAAACTTTACAAACATATACAACCTTGTGGACACATTTTTAGCACCCCTCTCAAGGCCTTGAAACAGCAGGTTCCTGAAGGTAAGCATCTTTTTTTTTTTTTTTTGAGACAGAGTCTCACTCTGTCACCCAGGCTGGAGTGTAATGACATGATCTCAGCTCACTGTAACCTCCGCCACCCAGGTTCAAGTGATTCTCCTGCCTCAGCCTCCCGAGTAGCTGGGATTACAGGCAGGAGCCACCACACCCAGCTAATTTTTGTGCTTTTAGTAGAGACAGGGTTTCATCATGTTGACCAGGCTGGTCTTGAACTCCTGGCCTGAAGAGATCCTCCCATCTTGGCCTCCCAAAGTGTTGAGATTACAGACATGAGCCACTGTACCCAGCCAGCTTTTCTTTTTAATATCCTCTGTGTGAAGTCAACTATGTCCTTGGTGACTTATCATCTAAGAAGACAAAGTCCTGCCATCAGCATTTGAGGTAACCAGGCTCTTCTCTTCACATTAACTAATTTTTCCCCATTTCCCCAGTACTATTCACACCTCTTCTCTCTTAGTTCTTCAAACTTTCTTTCTTTACTGACTCTTTTCCTCAAAACTAAAAATAGGATTAAGAATCCCCTCATTACAAAAACAGTATTAAAATCTGCTTCCCCATTGTTTCCTTATCTCACAATCAATCTATAGTCTTATCTCTTATTTCCTTTATCACTACAATGACTGCAAGAGGAGTTACAACATCTGCCCACAATTTTTCACTTTCATTTTAAAATCAACCTACTGAAATCAGGCTTCTTCCTCTGCAATCTATTGAAAATATGCCTGTCTTAATCACCTATGACCTACTTGTTAAATTTAAACGCCCTTTTGATTTCTCAGTCTATGAGACCATCACATAGTACTTTGATTGCTTGTGACATTTGGATTTTTGAATTGTTGTCATTATAATGTATTAATCCTAACTGGCTGGGTAGGTACATATTGCTAAGAGCAAGGTTCATATCTGAGCATATGACTCATCGGGATTGCATATATTAAGTTCCCGGAACCCAGCTCATCCCAAGTCCAGCTTATCCTGCTGCCTGCTGAGATCTAAGCTCTTGTTGTGACATTTCCCTCATCAAGAGGCTGTAAATAACATTCTCAGACCACATATGGGGCACTGTGAGAACTGATGCTCATTAAGTGTGTTAAGTGAAAGTCATGAGTGGAGAACCAAACATTAGCTATAAATCAAAATTAACAAATGTGACTTGAGTTCTCAGGAGGCAAAACACTTCGAATCTTAAGTATTATGGCTGTCAGGAATCACACTGAATAACGCATTTCTACCCAAATATGTGCGTAGATGAAATGCAAAGAAGAAAGCTGTCAAGATAGACAAGGAAAAGGAAATCTGTTGCTTGGCCCTTGAAACAAGCTAATTTAGTATTATAAGCCATTGGAGTTTCCTTCTCAAATGGATCCACGTGGAAAATCCAGATGGCTGAATACCCAACTCATAAATGTGAAAACGAAATACATTAGCTCCAAGGCCTGAGTATAGTCAAGGCATTTTACTTACTTACTGCTGAACATTTTTAAAATCATTTGTATTTAGGAAAGAAATATATAAATGATTCTTTAAAAAATATTAGTTTATGCTGACTTTTCCAGCAGCAATCAGTATGTAGGGTTAGTAGGGTAGGGAAGAGTACTAGGGAAATTAAGATAATTTAGAAAAAAATATTAACAGGCATCATCTATCTACCAGACACTCTGCTGCTAGTTATTGAGGCTACAAAAATGTAGCACTTTTGTGGAATTCACTAACTCAGTGTATTACTAATGTTAAGAAAGGGGAAATCATCCTGGACTCTTCTATCTCCCCTATCTTCTTTCCTATCATTTAATAAATTAGCAAGCAGTATTGGGTTTACCTTTTGAAAGTCTCTTCAACATGTTCGTTCATCCTTATTCACATTGCCACTGCCTACTACATGCTTTCCTAATCTCTTAGCTAGATTATTGCAATTGCCTCCCACTCCCAATATATCCTTCTCACTACCTTCCAAGAGTGCTTTCTTACTAGAAAATCAGTTTATGTTGGTCTCTTGCTTAAAATTTATTATTGGCTACCTAGAGCCTTTATGTTTATGTTTCTCTGCATAACCTAAAACTCTTCCTTCTTGTGTTATCTCAGTTCTCACCTTTATCTTCCACATAGCCAAGTCTTTCTGAGTTACTGGCTATTTCCCCAAATGTCTCATGTTCTAGTATGCATTTATGCCTTTGTACCCTTACTCCCTCTGGCTGGAAGGACTTCATTTTGTCTGCTTGAAAACATGCTAGTCATTCTTACATTTCACCTGCTGTTTGACCTTACCTTTAAATCTTCACTGACTATCAGGCAAATTTAGATATTCCCTACTTTGTATCTCCTCTCTTCCTTGCACTTACTTCCATTTACTTTCTGTCATTCTTTTTCCCCCACTTAATTGTAAGTCCTTTAAAGCAAGGATCATGTCTTTATGTCTTCATAGTCTAAGTGCCTAACAATGGTTGGCACCTAATAGGTATGCATTTAAATACAGACTAAAAGGCAATAAAATAAAAGCAAACACATACTTGCCCTTATATGATATCTTAGCCAGGTTTCTCCAGCAGGCAAAACTAGATGAAAAAGAAATCATGCATCCCTACTTTATCAATAAGTGTAATTCCAGAGAACCAATGAATGAAGGAGGAGGCTTTTGAAATAGGAAAGGCAGGAAAGTCAATATGGCTGGTAGATCATGAGCTGGTTACTATAATTGATTGCTTTTCTGCATAGAGTTGTCATTTGAGAGACCATATTGCATTATAATGAGGTCCATACCAATGACAGAAGGGAGAATAATACATCTACTGGCTCTCAACTCTCATTAGACAAAGTATTCTCTGTGGAACATTAATCCTCATCCACTTCCAACATATATGGAAATGGGTGTTGAACAGGTTATGTAGCACTTAATGCATCAAGACAACAAAAATCTCTGGAGCAAGAGGAAAGAGGCATGTGACAGTGGCATGAAGCAAGAAGTTGTCATATTGTGACTGGAACAAAATGAATGGACAAGGGGCCAAAGAAAGTTGTGCCTGGGAAGATCTGAAGCAGTGTGCAAGAGTTCTCTGATACAGCCCAACTCTTGAACCACTCCAATACCCTTTTACTCTATTCATGTCTGGTTCCCGTTCTACAGTAAAGCCTTTTTTGGGGGTTGGGGGGGGGACAGAGTTTCACTCTTGTTGCCCAGGCTGGAGTGCAATGGCACGATCTCGGCTCACTGCAACCTCTGCCTCCTGGGTTCTAGCGATTCTCTTGCCTCAACCTCTTGAGTAGCTGAGATTACAGGCACACACCGTCATACCCGGCTAATTTTTGTATTTTTAGTAGAGATGGGGTTTCATGTTGGTAAGGCTGGTCTCGAACTCCTGACCTCGTGATCCACCCACCTTGGCATCCCAAAGTGCTGGGATTACAGGCATAAGCCAAATGCTTCCGTTTTTAAGAGAAAAATATAACCCCCACTTCCCCCAAGATGATATGATATGAGTTTAAATAGCTGACTAGCCATAGCCTCTGAAATGTTTTAATGCAAATGAAATAAGCCATACTCCCTGATATTGCAGCTGATCCTGAAGACACATCTGAGTTTCATCATCTTCCTCCTATACTCTCCAAACAGAGTGACATCACCTTCACCAGCACTTTGTTCTTTGGTCAGGTAGGCTGCCTAATAGAAAAATCAAACTACATCCCTGTGGGGTCCAAGTCTTTATTGCCTTGTTTTTCTTGGGTAATTGTTCCAGTAATTCTCTGTTGTTATCACTGGGCAGAGAAACATGATGCAATCTTTCTCAGCAAATTTTAAATTCTAAATATAAGTCTTATTTCTCACATTTGTTGGCAGCAATTCTACATCTTTTTTTGGTATTTAGGGTTCATTACTGCTTGAGTACATTACCTACATTTTCTGACTGTTGACGCACTGGCATGAATAGCCAAAAGGGACCACATGGTCGTAGCAGAGTCTAGTTCATTGTAATATTTATTCTACCCTACTCAGAATTGTTTCTCTTTTTTGGAATGAGAAACTCTAACCAGCCGACACCAATCTTATGGGGATAGCAAGCAAAGTTCTGAAAGTAGGCCACTGGATTGATAGTGAAAGACGAATGCCCTGATTATGCTCATGGATCCGTGTGGAGTCAATTGGTTGCCAGAATGCGAAAGTCTGGAAAACATCTCAACAGAATCATCTTGAGTTCTACAATAGTGACATTACCTATAGGAGCATTTGGGGAAGTTATGGGACAATGGCTGGTTGACGTTTAATTACACCTACGACTCTTACTAGCTATAAAAGTTTCCCTTAACTACTCAGCCTCAGTTTCTTATCTGTAGAATGGGGATGTTTATAACAGAATCCACAGCAGTGGAATGCATACGTGCACACACACACACACACACACACCACACATGCATATATATGGAATGAAGAGAATTATAATGATTGTTATGGATAAATGAGCCAGCACATGTTCGGTGGCCTGGTATGATGGAGAATGGTGAGTTTACAGAACTAAAGAGGTTTGATACAGCTAATGCTCAAGTGTGTACGAGATGAAAAGCAGCAAGAAATAAAATAGAAAAGGTCATCTGGTACTAGTTCCAAGAGGGATTCTGCTGCTTGATTAAGGATTTTGTTCTTTATCCTTTAGGTGATGGGAACCTCTGAAGGGTTTTCAGCAAATGAGTGACATAATCAGACTTTTATTTAAGGAGAGTAACTCTGACGAGTTTGGAGGTTAGATGGGGTGGGAGCCTGCAGCTTAGAGGTGGGAAGATGGGACACTGATTAAATGGCTGATTCAGTATTGCAGGTAAGAAAGGAGACTGAATCAAGATATGTGTGAATATGCAATTTTTTTCACTTTGCCCTTCATCATCATTCAAAAATTATTGTTTTTCTCAAAATACAATTTTTCTAACATGTCTTAATAATTCTCTATTTAAACAGATTGAATAACACATCCTCATGGAATAAGCACCAGCCACACTGCAGTCTACCAATATGCCTTGCACACTTGCACAAATGCTGCCAGAGTGACATCCCTGCTGGGTCGACTGAATACCATCTCATTTCTCACTTACACAATCAATGATTCCTTCTCTTCTTCCCTTCTGCATGGACACTTTGCTGAACATAGTTTTGTTTTTGCTGGCCTGACTAGAAAAAAAAAAAAAAGACTTGTTTAGGTAAGATGCTTAATTAACCAATGAATAGTGCTCTCTTGTTCCTTTCAAGCTGTCTCCCGCATTTTAAATTTACTGGACAATGCTAGTAAACTCAAATGGGACCTAATGGTTTTCCTTGGGGATAGAGAAAGTTAGAAAATTGCTAAGTAAACACAGCATAGTGAAGACAAAGCAATGCCAAATTCAAATCTTAATGATACCACACACATTACACAGGTAGTAAAGGAGAGGATGTCAACAACGTTTGCTTTTTCATACACATTAAAATTTTTAAGAGCTAACTGTTCCAGGAGCAACCATGTCAAATCTTTTTATGCACAAAATGATTGAAAAATGAAACATAAAAATATTTTCTTATTTGTATTAAAGATTCCAGCCTCTCAGACACATAATCTGAAGGTTTTTTTTTTTACTTCTTTTTAATCAGAATTTTCTTCTTGAATCCGGAAGTCAATCCTCCATTCATAATTTTAAAACTTTTTGAATTATATGCTTTAGCCTTTCTAAATCTGATTTTTATTTCATAGGAAGGAGGAGAAACCTATTACAAGTGGGCATTGTGATTTTATAATCTTAGGGTACATTATTTTCTCCAAGTATGTCCACCTGCCTTTAACAAATATATTTATTTCATCCTTATTGACTCTTTATTATTAGTTCTGTCTTTGGATAAGAGTCTGTTCTTTTCCAGGGAACATGTCCTCATTTTTTTTCTTTGTTAAGGCATTTTCTTTTGTAGTAGCTGGCAATTTGTGACTTCACCACACACTTGGCAGATATCCTTATTCCTCGTAATGATCACATCAACATCAGCAATGAATATCAATGATAATGATGTCCCTCTTCAGGCTCTTTCCTAGGCTGATGCATCTGGCCTCCTTGAATGGCATTCATTAGAACCAGGCACCAAGATAATAATACACCGAAGCCAGTGATGCCAGCCTTTCTCTCTTTGACCAATTACCTCCTGGACCTTGTTCAAATGGAAACCAAACCACCCTGAATAACTTTACTCATTTGTAGAAGTTAGGAAAATACATGAGAAGCTACAAATAAAACCTCAGAGTTCTTTTTTTGGACGTTATAAAGAGATGTTCATTCTAACTATATAATATCAGCATTTTCTTATGCCATTATTTGTCAGCACTGCAGAGCAGAGAATGAGTTTTATACAGATATTCAAAGTGATAGTGTATAAAGTATTGAAAGTTTAGGGCATATATTTATATCCTCAACTGTAGGATAACCTGATGGTCATTAAATTAAAGTCTAGGGCTATAGTAATATTGGATTAAGAGAGATTTCTGAACTGTTATATCAATCAAAGTTATACGAATTTGATGATTAGTGGCTATATCACTCAGACAATTATCACAATATAATTCTGTAATGAATAACAATAAAAATAAAGCGTAGTATTATGATACTCATATAGGATGCCCGATTATTATTTTTTCAGTACAACATGGTAACTGGAAAATAAACACAGTAAAGAAATAGAGTTATTAGCAACACTACAAAACCAGATTGTGAATGAGTCAAAATGTCAGAGTGATGATAAGTGTTTGTGGAAAGCAGCTGGAGATCCTAATTAAATCATAGTTTACACACTTTGATAGTACTGATTTCTGACATTGACATGTATACAAAACATACCATATGGTTGCCATTTTATAGGCATATTTTTACATATATGTTTGTATGCATATATAGATATACATATAAGCATAGATGTAGACCAAAACTCCTCATAAAAAGCTTAGCACAACTTTAAATAATTTTACACCAACCATATAATCTTTGTTAACTGATATTCTGCTAATCATATCTTTCTTTTAATTGGTGTTTCAGAACATGTACAGTAACATTATGTTTAATGATATTGTAGGATAGCTTAACAATTTAAAAATGGATTTTGGAGTTATTGCTTAGAAACCAAAGAAAGGAAATTATTTGAGAACTACAATAGGGTTTCACCAGAATATTCCATTTTTAACAACACCAGGTAACAAGGAGTTAGTATTTTTATGTTAGTCATACATTTACTTATGTTCACTGATATCTGCCTTTTATCTCAATTAACTTATAAACTTCTCAAGGACAGGGCATTTGTTAAAAATATTTGTTTCTATGTCTGGTTATGGTCTTTCAATATAGACTGAAGGTTCATCTCAAATGATAAATGTAACATGAAATCACCTCATAGATTGTGCTAATTTAGATACTATTCTGTGTTAGCTGTGGTAGCTCAATTAAGCTGTACACCCAGTGCCATAGGCAACAGACATCCAAGTGTTAGGTCTACCCAGAAGTAAAAGGATCAGGAGCTACTCACATATTGGAGAAGAATCTCATCAACCATGAGCTTGGCACACATGAATAAGTAAGTCATTGTAAAACTTTGTTAAAAACGTTTTAATTTTGTTCAAATGTTTTAAGTGTTTAGAGAAAAAAAGTTTTGGTTCCTAAAGAGAACTACAATAAAACAAAAAAATAAAGAACTATATAAAGTGCAGTTAATCCTTGAACAACATGGTGGTTAGGGGTGCCACTTCCCCAAAACCTGTGCAGTCAAAAATTCATGTATAACATTTGACTTTCCAAAAACATAACTACAAATAGCCGTCTGTTGACCAAAAGGCTTATCCGTAATATAAACAATCCATTAACACATATTTTGTTATGTTGTGTGTATTATATACTATATTCCTACAATAAAGTAAGCTAGAGAGAAGAAAATGTTAATAAAAAGATCATAGGGCCGGGCGTGGTGGCTCACACCTGTAATCCCAGCACTTTAGGAGGCTGAGGCAGGTGGATCATGAGGTCAGAAGTTCGAGACTAGCCTGATCAACATGGTGAAACCCCGTCTCTACTAAAAATACAAAAATTAGCCGGGCATGGTGGTGTGTGCTTATATTCCCAGCTATGTGGGAGGCTGAGGCAGGAGAGAATCACTTGAACCCGGGAGGCGAGGTTGCAGTGAGCCGAGATCACGCCACTGCTCTCCAGCCTGGGTGAAAGAGCAAGACTCCATCTCAAAACAAAACAAAACAAAACAAAAAAAGAAGAGAAAATATACTTGCTATTCATTAAGTGGAAGTGGATCATCATAAAGGTCTTCATCCTTATCATCTTTACATTGATTTTTTGTTGTCATTTTTGTTGAGACAGAGTCTCTTTCTATCACCCAGGCTGGAGTGCAGTGGCTTGATCTCAGCTCACTGCAATCTCTGCCTCCCGGGTTTAAGTGATTCTCCTCCTTCAGCTTCCCGAGTAGCTGAGATTATAGATGCAAGCCACTACGCCTGGATAATTTTGTAATTTTGTATTTTTGTATTTTTGTTTTGCCATGTTGACCAGGCTGGTCTCAAACTCCCGACCTCAAGTGATCCACCAACCTTGGCATTCCCTAGAATTACAGGCCCACCATGTGCCCACCTATCATCTTCACACTGGATAGGCTAAGAAGGATGAAGAAAAAGAGGAATTGGTCTTGCTATCTCAGGGGTATCAGTGGCAAAAGAAAATCCACATGTAAGTGAATCCACACAGTTCAAATCCATGTTGTTCAAAGGTCAAGTGTATATTGAAGAAAATTCTGCCATGTGTCTATAGACTAGCGGAAGGAGTGAAGTACTTTTCTTGAATATCTATTTCCCAACTGGGTGAAATGTTAGGGAGATGAGAATTACTGTTTATGTTAGTATTTGGAGGAGTATTTCCTTCTAGCCACCAAAATACGTGGGCTTGGTGATTTAAAAAAGTATATATTAAAAAACAAAACAAAAAAGAACTCTTTTTTTTGTTTGTTTGAAAAGAAAAAGACAGGAGAGGCAGAGAAATGAATATTTGGAGAGAATTGGAAATAAAAAAAACTATCATGTTTTTCTCACAGATAAAATTCTTTGCAATCTGCTTATCTGTAAGTCTACTCTATCACCTGGAATGTATTAGAAAAGCTAAAGCAGCTGGAGAAAGTTGGAAGCTAAGAATGGACAGTGCGCAGGGCCGAAGTTAAAGGCAATCCTCAAATATAATAAGAAGCACTTGCATCTAAAAAGCATTCTACAAGCTACAAGAGTTTACTGTGGGAATGCTAATTAATAGGTAAATCCCAAAAAGTTTAGGATATCAAATATTCAACTATGCTTCACAAATCTTATTTTATTTTTATTTATTTATTTATTTTGAGATGGACTCTTGTTCTGTCGCTCAGGCTGGAGCTCAGTGGCACCATCTTGGCTCACTGCAACTTCTACTTCCTGGGTTCAAGCAATCCTCCTGCCTCAGCCTCACGAAGAGCTGGGATTGCGGGAGTGTGCCACCATACCTGGCTCATCTTTGTATTTTTAGTAGAGACGGGGTTTTGTCATGTTGTCCAGGCTGGTCTCGAACTCCTGACCTCAGGTGATATGCCCTCCTTGGCCTCAGAAAGTGCTAGGATTACAGGCATGAGCGACCTCACCCAGCCTTATTTTATTCTTGATCTCTATGTTGACCCCTATCAATAAGTTCGTGTCTGAGCCCTTACATTCTTTGACAAAATCAGAGTTAGAGCCTCCCCCATGATTTCACATACGAACAAAATAATGTGTATCTGGGTGGAATATCCCAGAGGTATTTTTCCTGATTCTTCCATTGTGTGTGGAGGTCATCTACGGCTTATGACTCGAGGAGTGCGGGGAATAAACACTCTGAAATATTCCTCCTGTATGGCTCCCAGTCGCCATAAATTTTATCATCATGTAGTTTAGGTTTCCTCAAGGTAACTCTTTTCTGAGAGTATGCCACCCTGTTGCAACACTTAGTTATTCATTATAACGTATACCTGGGTTGACATTTTTTTATCAACTTGCTTCTCTTGTGCATAGTTAGCTGTGAGTAAGGAAGCAAGGGTATTTGAGATTATGGAAGACAGAGAAAGGAGCATTTTGTATGTGAGAAATTACCTAGGCTTTTGGTCTAGGTTAGGACACATAGTGGGATCACTAGGTAGCTGAAGTTTTTCCAGACACAATGCTGTTTATGTGAATCTTGGACATTCACAATTCATTTTCCTTTAGCTCATTTTTCTTTTTCTTTTTTTTTTTTTTTTTCAGACGGAGTCTTGCTCTGTCGCCCAGGCTGGAGTGCAGTGGGGCGATCTCGGCTCACTGCAAGCTCTGCCTCCCGGATTCATGCCATTCTCCTGCCTCAGCCTCCCGAGTAGCTGAAACTACAGGCACCAGCCACCAAGCCCGGCTAATTTTTTGTATTTTTAGTATAGACAGAGTTTCACCATCTTAGCCAGGATGGTCCTTTAGCTCATTTTTTAAAATAATCCTCTGATGCAGATAATAACAATCTCTCCTTTTACTTATGAAGAAGTTGAAATTCAGGGAGAATTTACATAGCTTATTCAAATTTATGCAGCTAAACAGTGACATAGCTGAGACTTACTCAGAGTCTTCTTGTATTAGTCCATTTTCATGCTACTGATAAAGACATACCTGAGACTGGGAATAAAAAGAGGTTTGGGCTAGGAGTGGTGGCTTGCCCTTGTAATCCCAGCACTTTGGGAGGCCTAGGTGGGCAGACGATGAGGTCAAGAGATCAAGACCATCCTGGCTAACACGGTGAAACCCTGTCTCTACTAAAAATACAAAAAATTAGCCGGATGTGGTGGCATGCACCTGTAGTCCCAGCTACTCGGGAGCCTGAGGCAGAAGAATCGCTTGCACCTGGGAGGCAGAGGTTGCAGTGAGCCGAGATCGCGCCATTGCACTCCAGTGGGCAATAGAGTGAGACTCTGTCTAAAAAAAATACAAAAATAATTTTAAAAAAGAGGTTTAATGGACTCTCAGTTCCACATGAATGAGGATCCCTCAAAGTCATGGCAGAAGGCACAAAGGAGTGAGTCACATCTTACATGGATGGCAGCAGGCAAAGAGAAGAGAGCTTGTATAGGGAAACTCCCATTTCATCAGATTGAATGAGACCCCTTCACTATCAAGTGAACAGCATGGGAAAGATACACCCCACATAATTCAGTCATCTCCCACTTGATCTGTCCCACAACACATGGGAATTATGGAAACTATAAGATGAGATTTGGGTGGGGACACAGAGCCAAATCATATCACTTCTGATTTCAAATTCCCTTTTCTTTTCACTAGAGTATGAAAGGCTTCAACTCTAAAATGATGATATTTCTAAGTTCCACAGTTCTGCCAAAGATTGGTTTTAAAATACATGTTAGAGGTTTACAAATGATTAGTAAGAGTAACTACATTTCTACATGAGGGAGAGTACGTTCACTGTTCAAAGGACTAGTGTGAGGTTGCAGCATATACATGTGTAATGTATTAAAAACTAAACATGCATTTGATCAGAAAACAATAGACAAATTTTATTTAAGATCACAGGTGTCTTATCCCATTGTTCCCTCAGTGATCATATGTTTACCAACAAGCAAGTAGGCAGACACAGAGATCTGTTTGTCAGGCAATCTCATTTTCTTCCTGCCACCTCTAATGTGAGTATCTCACCACAATAAGTATGATTTGATTGTTTAAAATATTTTGTCATATGAGCTTTTTTACCTTAGGTATTGTCTTTAAAAACTAAGCTCTTGGGACTCAGCTCTACAATGTTCTATTTGTTGTTTTGTAGCAACGTTTTTGAATATGCCCGCATAATATTAGTTCTATATGATGTTATACAAATAAAAGAACAAATTCTGAGTCATATTAATACATTAACAAGATTGACTGCAGGATTTTTCAGTTCCCTTCATATGCAAATGTGAGCGTGAATCTCTAAGTTCGGGGTCAGAGATATATTGGGCAAAATTTTCTAGTGTGTGTCATGGGCCTTGTGTACTTGGGAACACTTTTTCAGTTTTACACACACACACACACATATACACATGCACACACAATCATATATATATATGCACATACATGTATATAATTTTTGTATATGATATGTACAGCTGTTAGCTTTTTGTGATGAAATATACAATCTCTAATGTTAGAAAGAGGAAATAGGCATTTTTGAGAAGGTTGAAAGAAAAGAAAAGGAAAAGGAAAAGACATGTCTGGAAGTTTCCATGGTATCTACTGGCTCAGGATTAAACATCCAATTGTGAAAAGACTTGAGGTTGGAAAGCATTTTCTAGATGCTGGTCAAACTAGGTCCAAAGGCACCACATGGAAAGATTGAAGGGATACTGAGCATGTGTAGAAGAGAGTTGTGTCCCCCGCCATCCCCACTGTCCACCCAACCCGAACCAGAGGGCAGTCTGTTCATTTAAATGCGAGGGCTAACTAAACATCTAGCCATTCTGCAGCATCACCTGAAAATCTCAGGGTGGACCAAATGGGAAGGGTATGATACCAGTAAAGGATAATTTCTGAAGGAAATAATGTTTATGCTAGAAAAAGAGGAAGCCGAGCCCTATCCCGACACTCTTTTTTGAAGCCATTTGCTTCATTCGCCTTCAGGTCCTTATGAAGGAAACTATTGTAAATAATACAGCCTAACAGGAATGAGCATTCTGGTTTTTTCTGTGGGAGAGTTTGTGGGAAGACTTAGTATACACCATTGACCATCCCCAGTTGTTCTGAGAGGCATTATAGCCATTTTGGCTACAAGCCAACCTGCTGTACTAGTGTGGTTGACACAAACTACACATGAATCATCAAAGGAATTTATTTCAAGGAATTTTACCATAGCAACATTGACCTCTATCATTCTTGAGAAAATGAGTGTTAATATGAGATATTCCCAACACATTTTTAGGCAATTACAGTAGATTGGATAGAATCCAATGGGACAATTCCAGGCATCCCTGGAAACTAACCAATTTAAAACTAGCCTTCAGGCTCCCCACCATCCTATCTTCACTCAAAGTCTGTGTTCTTCCACTGTGGAAGATATAATAATAACTATGGGCCAATGAGACCAGTGTGACAGGGAAGAGAGTCTGCAAAATACGTGTCCAGGATCAGCCATGAGACACCACCTTCCACAGAAATCCATTCATCTTCATGCAAAGGAAATAATGGAATAGTTTTAAGATTGTGAAATTCATGCAGGCACAATGCAAAGTCATATAATAACTTCTTGTTTAATATGACCACATCTCTTTGTTTAATTGGATCACAATCATAAGGATAGTTTGATACTGTGTCTGTAACTGTGTTCAGAATCAGGAGCCTAATTAAGTCTTATATTTCTTGGGATAAGAAGAAATAATTCAAGCACAGAATTCCAGAGGAAAAAACAAACTGCAGAAGGAAAGGTAGAAACATATCTGGGTAAAGACAAGATAATTTTCACCTCTTCTTTAACATGGCATGAACACACAAGCACATCCACCACACATCTATCTACACATAATTTTTCCTTTTATTGGAATTCACGCCTTCCCCTCAGCTTGAAGTAAGGCAAACTTTTGGACTGTTGACAATGCTAAATAATTGATGATACCTTATAAGTTTGCTCACAAACATCTAAATATCAGAGAAATACTCTGTAGACTACTGGAAACTATCTAGATGTTCATCTAGAAACATATCAAGGTGCTTATTCATTGGGGTTGTTCTCTCTTCCTTACATTGCCAGGGTTGGTTATATGTGTGACTAAGAGGGAGAATGCTTACCTGTACCCTGTGATGTAGCACTCTAATAAGGGTTGCTGACAGAGTCATTCACCAAAAATATAGTCGTCATATGTCTGTCACAGTGACCAAAATCCAAAATAATACTCCATTGGGACCGCTCATTAAAAAATTATGACATAAAGAATCATATATTTTAGAACCAGAAATAGGACTTACTGCCATTTTGTTAATTATTTTCAACTGTTTTCCACTTTTGTCTTCCTTTATGGTAATTTTTTATGGTAGTTTACTTTGATTCTTGTTTTATTCTTTGGTGTATTTACTATAGGTTTTTAAATTTATGGTTACCATGGGATGTACGTAAAACATTTTATAGTTATAACATTCAATTTTAAACTGACAACAATTTATAAACACTCTACCCTTTAACTTCTCTTCCCATTCTCATTTTATGTTATTGATGCCACAATTTTTATTTTTTATATATTATGTATAATTAATAAGTTATTTTAACTATGTTTATTTTAATGCTCACCTTGCTTGTACAGCCTGCAGGACTATGAATCAAATGACCCCTTTTTCTTTGTAAATTTTCCAGTCTTAGATCTTTCCTTACAGCAATGCAAAATGGACTAACATAGACTTCATGGACTTGGATGTTCATTTCCCTCTCCAAATTTGGGAAGTTTTCTGTCATTCATTTCTTTAAATTAGCTTTCTGCCTCTTTTTCTTTCTCTGCTTCTCCTGGCATCCCTAGAATGTGTATATTGTTGCACTTGATGGTATCTCATAAGTTCAGCAGGCTTTTCTTTGCTTTTTCCATCTTTTCTTTGTTTTTGTCTCTGACTGATTAATTTCAAATTTCTTTAAGCTCACAGAGTCTTCAATCTACTTGACTGACTCTGTTGTCAAAGTTCTCTATGAAATTTTTTCAGTTTAGCCATTACATTCTTTAGCAGAAGAATTTCTGTATTTTTTATGATTTTTATCTCTTTTTTGATGTTCTCATTTTGTTTGTATATTATTTTCCTGATATTGTTCAGGATTCTATCTGTGTTCTTTTGTAGCTCACTGAGCTTCTTTAAGAAGATTATTTTGAGCTTCTTTAAGACAGTTATGAACTTTCTCGGGCAGTTCATAGATATCCATTTTTTTAGTATCTGTAACTAGTGCTTTAATTTGTTCCTTTATTGATGTCATGTTTTCCTGATTATTTGTGATCCTTATTGCCTAGTATTGATTTTTGTGCATTTGAAGATGTAGGCACCCATTTCAGTCCTTACAGAAGGGCTTCATCAGGAAAAGCCCTTCACCAGTCAGCTCATCACATATTCTTGGCAAGCTGTCTGGTAGTGTCTGCAGTTAGGCTTGCTGCTGGAGTCTTTGGGCGATGGGTAGAGTGCCTGGGTCAGCAGATCGGCAAGAATGACACTGGGTTTACAGGTCATAGTCTAGTTTCTGTGTCTATATGATTGAGCCTGGAACTTGGTTCTGCTGGGGTGGACCTGGATTCTGGGTCCATGAGGGATGGCCTGGTGGTGGAGTTCACCGAAGTAGACCTATTTACTTCATCTGTTGCAGGAAGTCAGGGACCCTGAATGGAGGGACTGGCTGGAGCCGTGGCAGAGGAACATAAATTGTAAAGATTTCATGGACATTTTTCAGTTCCCAAATAATACTTCTATAATTTCTTATGCCTGTCTTTACTTTAATCTCTTAATCCTGTTATCTTCATAAACTGAGGATGTACATCAGGACCTCAGGACCACTGTGATAATTGTGTTAACTGTACAAATTGATTGTAAAACGTGTGTTTGAACAATATGAAATCAGTGCACCTTGAAAAAGAACAGAATAACAGCGATTTTTAGGGAACAAGGGAAGACAACCATAAGGTCTGACTGCCTGCTGGATCGGGCAAAAAGAGCCATATTTTTCTTCTTGCAGAGAGACTATAAATGGACGTGCAAGTAGGAGAGATATCACTAAATTCTTTTCCTAGCAAAGAATATTAATATTAATACCCTGGGAAAGGAATGCATTCCTGGGGGGAGGTCTATAAATGGCCGTTCTGGGAATGTCTGTATTATGCAGTTGAGATAAGGACTGAGATACGCCCTGGTCTCCTGCAGTACCCTCAGGCTTACTAGGGTGGGGAAAAACTCTGCCCTGGTAAATTTGTGGTCAGACCAGTTCTCTGCTCTCGAACCCTGTTTTCTGTTGTTTAAGATGTTTATCAAGACAATACATGCACCACTGAACATAGACCCTTATCTGTAGTTCTGCTTTTGCCCTTTGCCTTGTGATCTTTGTTGGACCATTATCAGTAGTTCTGCTTTTGCCTGTTGTCCTGTTCCCTCAGAAGCATGTGATCTTTGTTAGACCCTTATTAGTAGTTCAGCTTTTTGGCCTTTGAAGCATGTGGTCTTTGTACTTACTTCCTGTTCTTACACTCCCTCCCCTTTTGAAACCCTTAATAAAAAACTTGTTGGTTTGAGGCTTAGGTGGGCATCACGGTCCTACTGATATGTGATGTCACCCCCCAGCAGCCTAGCTGTAAAATTCCTCTCTTTATACTGTCTCTCTTTATTTCTCAGCTGGCTGACACTTATGGAAAATAGAAAGAAGCTACACTGAAATATTGGGGGTGGGTTCCCCCAAAATGCATCTGTGGGAATGGGCCTAGATCATCTGTGGGAGTCAGTCTCAAGCTTGTGTCTATAGGGACCAACCTGGTGCTAGGTTGAACCTTAAGCCTGAGTCCACAAGGGATGAATTGGTACTCAGATGGTCCTGCAGCCTGGGTCCATGAAGCTGGGCCTGTGTCTTGGATATGCTGGAGCAAGTATGGATCCTGAGTTAACTAGAACTTGGGCCTTCGGGGATCAACCTGGAACCTGGGGCCAGCCCGGTAGTGAGGAAGGCCTTAAGCTTGAATCAGCAAAGCTGTTTTGTAGTCTGGGTTCATAGCATTTGTCCTGGAGCTTGGGTCTGTGGATGCCAGCCAAAGCCAGGCTCTAATAAGGTGGGCCTGTACCCTGAGTCCCCTGGAGCATGGGGTTATTGGAGGTAACCTAAAGTCTAGGGCCCTGGGTCTGGCCAGGTGCCTGGGGTCACAGGGAATGGCCTGAATCCTGGATCTGCAAGAACCATACAGAAGGCTAGGTTCATGGGGGCTGGCTTACAGCCTGGAGCCACAGAGGCTGGTCTGACACTGGATAGGACCTGAAGGCTATGATCTTATAGGGCAGGCTTGAACTCTGGGTCTGCTGGAGTGGTCCTGGACTCAGGGTCTACTGTAATGTTTGTCTGCAGCTGCTGGCCTGAAGCTGGGGCCATAGGGGTAACTCTGGTACTAGGATGGGCCTGGTGATAGAGTCTGCAGTATAGTCATGTTCACTTCCCTTTCATTGACCCACATGAAGGGTGGCTGTCTTTTCACTATGGTGCCCAGGCTTGGGGAAAGGATGAAAAGGATAATGTAAAACAGTGTTTCTACTGTCTTCAATACATGTTTTCTTATTTCTTTGTTACACTCAGAGGCTGTAATTTGTCACCTGGATTTTTTGGCTCTTATGAAGATATTTTTGTGCATGGATAAGTTGTTCAAATCAATCTTTCTGCAAAGGACCAGCACTGGAAAATCCTATTCTACAATCTTGCTGACACCATCCTTCAAAGTCTTCAGTTATTTAGAATCTTTCCATTCCTCCTGGTAAGGAGAGGAATCTTCATTCCTCACAAATGAAGATTTCCTTTAGTAGTGTAAATATCCCTTACAAAAGGATACCTTTCTACTCAGTTTCTCCTGAGTGTACATTTTCTCAAAATAATCAACTCAAAATAATGTTTATTCCAAAGAGGCATATTCTCGGGTGGGATATTCCATTTTCCTATAATTTATGTACCCAGTTCTATTAAGTAACACTTAGGTTATATCCTACTTTTTTTGTTTTACTTCTATGTATGACATTGGTACATTTCCAACAAGTAATAGCTTTACACACTTCTTTATTTCTCCCCTAATACTCCAGCTTTGTATATGGAATCTCCTACATCAAAAGTTTGCCAATATTCTTAAGATTCTGGTATGATATTGTCAGATGCATTTGAATCGGAGCAATTCCATCTTGAATAGGGACTGGATAAAATGAAGCTGAGACTACTGGGCTGCATTCCCAGAGGGTTATGCATTCTGAGTCACAAGATGAGATAGGAGGTCAGCACAAGATACAGGTCCTAAAGACCTTGCTGATAAAACAGATTGCAGTAAAGAAGACGGCTAAAATCCACCATAACCAAGATGGCAATGAGAGTGACTTCTGGTCATCCTCACTGCTGCACTCCAACCAGCACCATGACGGTTTACAAAGCCATGGCAACATCAGGAAGTTACCCTATTTGATCTAAAAAGGGGAAGCATGAATAATCCACCATTTGTTTAGCATATAATCAAAAAATAACCATAAAAACGGGCAACCAGCAGCCCTCGGGGCTGCTCTGTCTATGGAGTAGCCATTCTTTTATTCCTCTACTTTCTTAATAAACTTGCTTTCACTTTAGTCTATGAACTCTCCCTGAATTCTTTCTTGCACAAGACCTAAGAGCCTTCTCTTGAGATCTGGATCGGGACCTTTTTCTAGTACCAACATAATAGCATCTCTTTCTGAAAATACAAATATCTACTACCAGCTGTTCTCAGGAAAAGCTGTCCTCAATGATCTATCACTACATCAATGCATTAACAAGATGGCATGCTCAAGGCTCTGTTTTGTGCCACTGTGTTCTATTTGCATGGTTTCTTTTTAAGCTTCTTGTTTTGGAAAGCCTGGGGATCATTTGAAGTGGCTAGGGATCAGACAGGAGAGAGGAAGAAGAAAAGAATGCAAAATATAAGAGGGAACCAATGACCAAGAAAATGACCCTTTGTTCTATCAGTTCTGGAATCAAAACAACACCATTGTCTAAAAGCAAAAGAAAGAAATACAGTGGGGCATGAAATTTTACTGGAATACCGGCCAGTCAAAGCAATTGCAATATTTTCTATTACAGCCAGAAAGATATAATTTTCATTGAGAAGGGAAAATCAGGAGAAAAAGATGTAATGATGGTTCAAGAATTCCTATTGCCCTGTGTGTGTTAGTTGTAGCCTCTTCCCTTTGAGCAGGCTAAGCCCTCTTTAAAGCTCTCCTAAGCTGCGGCTCCAGGGTAACATTTAAACAGCTTACACTCTGCCTTGAGTCACAAGCAAAGGTGAACTTATCAATTTTTGCAGCCATGCCATTCTGGGGAAGCGTTTGCTTTTTTAATTGCTCAGCTAGGGTTCATTGGGCATAATTGAACAGCTACCTGATTAGAGGGCACAGGCTGAGAATGGCAGGAACCAGCTGTCATGAGTGTCCTGCACTTTGAGTGGGTTCCTCCTGCCAGCTATCCCCCTGCTGGGGTGAATGAAACTGAACCATTCACTCATGCTACCTTGACCGAGGAGGTGAACAGGAAGTCCCTTCAACCCAGCCAGCTAGCCAGCAGCTTGAAAATAGCCAGCCAAGTGTTTCTCTTTCACAACCAGATGTTAACTGAAAGCTTCAAATTTCAGAGATTTCATTAAATGTGAGAATTACACCTCCTCCTCATCACCTGCAAAAAGCAGCAGACTCCCTGGGGAAGAAAGGCAGCTCCACTTGCAGAGTGCCTCTTTCCTGGCTCCCTGCTGACATCTTTGAATAGGGCTGATGCCATGAAAAGGGATCTAGTTTCTAATCCCGAGAGGCCTTAGGACAGGAAGCATTCACATAGAAGGAAAGAGAACATTTTCTGTGAGCATTTGTCTTTGCCATTGCCATAGTTATACTAACTAAAGTTCATCAGCTTTTGAAAAACAGTCAACTTGCAATGCAAACAGCTGCTCCAGCTTGATCTTGCTGATAGCTTTCTAAACACTGCAGGCAGAAACTTCTTAGCCCACTCACTTCTTCTTAGCCCACTTAATTTGAGTAAGCAAATCTCTCATAATTATCCATAATCTCTTTATATCATAACATGATAGAATTTTAAAGTGGGTAGAAGCAAAGTTTTTGGGATAACCTTATTTTCATGAAATTTATTTATTTATGGTAGTAATAATAAAAGTGTAACCTTATATGACCGAAGATGCCAAAAAATAAGGCCAATTATGCATATGCTGTATTTGACTTAGTACATTACTTCTTTTCATCTCTCTCCCACATAGGAAGAAAATGGATAAACTTTCCCTTTAACCTCTGAAGTTTCACTGAAAAGTTAACTTACAAAGGTAGGTTAATTCTGAAACCATCTTTGCAAAAATTATCACAGTGAGAAAACAATGACAGTGAAAGAGATCTGATCTAACCATCCCTCATCTTGCCTTTAACCTCCAAACTGCCCTAGGTGATTCCCAGGCTTGAGCCAAGCCCTTCCCCAATTCTAAACCACCTTTATAAAACTAATGAAAGGCCACCAGTTTGGGAGGATGAGGGGCCTGAATTCTGCTAAAATGTAGGTGTAATTAAATAATTACCAGCTGTTATTCTGGAGGTTATAAAATTTGCAACTTCCCCAATTCATTGTTGTGAAACTAAGATTGGCCTTTTCAGATGTCTTTTCAGGCTTTTGCATTTCTGAATAAATGGCCCCATCCAGATGACTCTTGCCTCAACCTGTCCTGTGGCCCCCACCCAGAGGGAGATTCAATGCATGAGGACCATTTTCCACACTTTTAAGATTGCATTCCCAACCAATCAGCACCACCCATTCCCCTAGACCCCTGCCCACCAAACTACCCTTGAACCCAATCTCCAAATTTTTGGGGATATTGATTTGAGTAATTACTGTCCCCCACATGTTGTGACCGACCTTGTGTCAATTAAAGTCTTTATTGCAATACCATAATCTCAGTGAACTGGTTTTGTCTTTGTGTAAACACCCAATGGGTTCACCTTGCCTACACAGGGGAATTACAATAGACAAAGAGTAATTCATGAAGAGCCAGCTGTGTGGGAGACAGGAGTTTTATCATTACTCAAATCAGTCACCCGAGCATTCAGGGATCAGCGTTTTTAAGGACAACTTGGTCGGTGAGGGGAAGCCAGTGAGCCAGGAGTGCTGATTGGTTAGGTAGGAGATGAAATCATAAGGAATTGAAGCTGTCTTCTTGCACTGAGTCAGTTCCTGGGTGGGGGCCACAAGATCAGATGAGCCAGTTTATCAATCTGGGTGGTGCCAGCTAATCCTTGAAGTGCAAGGTCTGCAAAATATCTCAAGCACTGATCTTAGGAGCAGTTTAGGGAGGGTCAGAATCTTGTAGCTTCCAGCTGCATGACTCCTAAACCATATTTTCTAATCTTGTGACTAATTTGTTAGCCCTACAAAGGCAGTCTAGTTCCTGGGCAAGAAAGAGGTTTGTTTTGGGAAAGGGCTGTTATCGTCTTTGTTTTAAACTATAAACTAAGTTCCTCCCAAAGTTAGTTCAGCCTATGCCCAGGAATGAACAAAGACAGCTTGGAGGTTAGAAGCAAGATGGAGTTGGTTAGGTCAAATCTCTTTCACTGTTTCAGTTACAATTTTGCAATGGCAGTTTCATCTGCAGTGAGCAGGAAGAACCCATTAGGCGACTACAATTGGAGAAAAGGCACACAAATTTATTAACGTGTACAAGGGGAAAATCACAGAGTGATTACCCACCTCCCAATGGAGTTCAGAAGCTTAACTATCACCCTGGCAAAATAAGTTACAAGAGGAGCAGAAGAGGAGTTCTGTTGAGGGGCAATAAATGATTACTAGAGAGAATGAATGGTTCAGGGAACTTGTAAATAGTTCTCTTTGGAATTTGAATGATACTGAGAGACAGACACCACCTTGGGAAAGGGTCTGTTCAAGTGTAGTTACATAGTTGGTCTTCTTTTCTGCAATGGATAATGAGATAACAGTTCCTCAGTCCTCTTAGGTTTCCTGGTGGGGTCTGAAAATAAAACAGCTTCCACTTAAAGCCAATTCACCAAGGAAAACAACTCTTTTGTTTTGTTTCTTGTCACCTCAGTATGTTCCTTCCTTAGCAACTTTTAAGCAGAATTCTTTACTAAGGAGTCAGCAGAAACCAGATCTAGAAAAGAAGAAATGGATAACTCATTTTTTCATCACCTTTAGCCCATCATCTAAGGTCGCAACTGACTTCCCTACCCTCTTTGCAGTTCCAGTGTAATAGCTCCCTGGTTTCACAATACATCCTTCCTAGTAATATTAGAGACCACTGATCATAGAGTGGTTTTGGCCAGTCTAGGAGGATTTGCAGTGAGGGTTTTCATATTCCCTGCTTCCACATTTGATGTCAGAGGGCCAATAGCTGCACCCTGCAGTCATGCTTTTGCCCTGTTTTTTGTACATGGAACCCATGAAGAGGCATGGTGCTCAGTTGTGCATGAGCATGTTCCTCCTTTCATAAATATATGACTCTTCCTATGGCTTATTGAATAGTATATTTGGCCACTCCATTCAGCATAAATCCCTGTCTTATTCTTCTGACACTTGAAGTCCTTGTTTTTGGATTTCTGGCCAGACGCTGCCCTTCCCAGTCAGTCAAAATGGCCACCTGCCGGCTGCAACACTTTATGAGAAATAAAACTCTCTTTTCCAAATGTATGAACCTCATCATTCTACAGTTGGCACCATAATCCAGGGATGTGCTGCTTCAGCAGCACTTTTTGCCATATTTATTGAGAAAAACAAATTCTGTTTTGAAGTTGGCTTTATGAGATGTACCTATATGTCCAGAAAATGTCAATCTATGTATTTATCTTGAAGTTGACAAGCTGGAAGGAAGCTTGCCTTTCTAGCGCTTATGTATCATTGCCCTTTCGTGGCTGCAGGCAAAAATTTGCTATATTCTTGTTAACATCTATCCCTAAAAGCATCCCCTTCAAATGGTAGCTGTGAACTGAATTGACCTCAGAAGTAAAGAAAATGAAATTGTAATTAAAATACAGATAGATTCACAGAATACTCTGTCCTAGTACACAAATGTTTGTAGGCTAATTTCCCAGTTGATGATGTGGAACTCAGCTTAGTCAATTGGTTTGGGCTTGTGAAAGCTAGTGTTGTGGAAATCTTGTTGTTTTTTTGACAGAGAAACAATGTGAGGGTGGAATTGAAATAGATTCTGAGACATGTTTCTTTAGATCATGCATTCTCAAAGAGTCTATTACTCCCAAAGGGATAGAATTGATTCTTATTTTTGTGGGTTGAAAAAGTGTATATGTTATACATACACACATATTATATATATATATTTCTATGTGTATTTCATAAGTAGTATATCTATAGTATTAAAATTTCATGGGAGATGCCATTAGAAAAAAATTGTCTAAAAAATCTTCCATGGGGGAAAATAAAATTGAAATAAAAGTTAAGAAACACAGCTTTAGAATAAAGATAAAAGAAAACTAAAATAGAAATAAAGACTGCTTAAAATTGTTATTTAAAAGCGAATTAAAATTGAGAGAGCAGGAACCTGGTGAAAGAGAAGAAAATACAGTTTTTTTTCTAGGGAGTGAAAATACACAAATCATTTTCAGCTTAGGAGCATAAATAGACAAGTGCTTTAAAACTTATGTTTAGAGATAGCAAGCACCTGCTAATAGAGGAGTGAAAGCACAGAGGGCTCTTTTAATAAATTAAGCGTATGCTGAGTTAGTAGAGTAACATAAAGCTGCACTTTTAAATTATGTTAATTCTATGTAATCTGTCTTTTAAATTCCTTCTTGCTTTTGTGACACTAAGTTGCTCATTTAAATTGACTAAGAATGCTATTCTTCAGAGGAAAGAACAGAAAAGAGTCTAGCATAGTCAGGGCCAGGTTCATGGACATGCAACCTGTGCAGTCATACAGGACACCATGTGTAGGTGGACCTCGTGTTTGGTTCAAGACTCTTTGGGCAAAGGAACCAGCGTTTCATTTTGCACTATGTCCTGCAAACTATGTAGCTGGTTCTGAGTAGAATACTAAAATAAGGGCTATCCTATATGAACAGATAAGTCTAGTCTTTGCAGAGATATTTCCCTTTGCCAATTTAGGTGTTATGAGAAGAAAGCTGCCTAGGGGAACTTGTAGACAAACTCTTCTTGCTTAAGTGCTCTAGGGGTAATTATTTACTAAACATTTGCAGAAGTGAGATAACATAGTGTCTTTAAATGTCAACATATATCCTACTTATAAGAAAGTATTGCTACCACCAACTTCAGCTTCATGCTGTTACTCAATTGTTCTTCCTTTATGGTCCTCAGCTCCACCACCATTATGATTGCCATAAAAAATTGCAGGTGTTGGAGCTTGGAAACCAATAGCTTAAAATACGATTCTTTAATATGCTGAACTGAAGAAGAAACTTCAAGATCTCTTTGACCTCCCTTCCACTATCTCTCCCAAAGAACAAGATAAAGTTGTTCTCTAAAGTTATTTTATCCACTTAAAGCTGACTCACCAAGGAAAACAACTCTTTTTTTTTTTTTTTTTTTGTCTCCTTCCTGTCCTTTCATGGTCAGGAACTCAATTTTTAGGGTTTCTTTGGGGTTCCCTTGGCCAAGGGGGGATTCCTTCAATCAGTATTTTATTTTTTCTTTCTCAATGGGGACATTGCCATGGGACTAGAGAACGAGTTGAATAGAAAGTTGCCTGAGGCTAAAGATAAAGGGCACAGATAGAAGACTTCAGCACTCTGGTCAGCTTCCCAGGCAAGGAAAGAATGGCCAAAGGGCAGTTGTGAAACACTAACATGAAGTACAACTTTTCCTAAAAATAAGATCAAACTTTCCGAGATCTTTTTAAATGATATTATTCCATTGGTTGATGAATTACCTCTTCTATTGCATGAAGACATGGCAAAAAGATTAAAGCAAGCACAAAGTATTTACTTCCATATAGCAACTAGCTAACCATGGAATGAGATTTAACTCAGCTTGAAAGAGATAGCATAATTTAAAGCAATTTACTGTCTTGGAATTATATTGCTTGGACCACCTTGAAATTATATTGCTAAAGTAGGACAGCTAGAAAAAATAAAGATCAGTGAAATCATCAAATCCCCGTTGTACCTTATTATATCAGCCTTTTTTATGTTTAAACCTACCATAACAACTCCTGAAATAAAGAGATACACAAGTTTGCTTTTTCCATCTAGGAAGAAACTACATAGCAAGCAATGAAATGTCAAACTGGAAAGGGTAGGAAAGAAACAGGAAACAGTCTGTTGAGAACCTATGCTTGGTGAATAGAAAATCAGGAGACATATTAATAATTCCCGGTGGAGGACCCCACGATGTTGTTCATTGCTTATTCTTGCTTTTATGTTTTAATTCACCAAATGGTCATTGAGCACCTATTGTATGCAAACAATTATGCTAGACATTCTGTGAGATTGAATTTAAGCTATAGTCATTTTTCTTCCAACCCTGCCTTCTCCAATATTTATATATATTTACAGGGTTTTATTTATATTGCAATAGAGGCTCCCTTCATCTCTCCACCTCCTAGCATCCATACATAGCTTTAAAGCTCTTTTATAATTAGCTTGAATGTGTGTGAATGAAGCCCATCCAGGAGCATGTAATGACTAATCTTCCCCAGGCCTGTAAAATATTCAGCAGTGCAGCATTATTTCTCTAGTCATATTAATATAAATTTGAGGTGGGAAAGGAGCAGGGAAGATGAAGCTGGACCTTTTAACTGAGAAACACGTTTCTCAAAGACTCAGTCCCTCCAGCTCATAATTTTTTTCTTGATGTAAGATCTATGATCTGTTTCATCATTTGAGGTACAAGAAAGACTACTTTTATTTTTTTCATTTAATTACTTGGAAACCCCACTTCCTACTACTGTTAACAGACCATTCAGTGCCTGCCTATTAATAACATCCACCATCATCAAACTATCCAAGAATTTCAACAGGTTTCCTCAGAGGATAGGACATAGGAGAAGAAGGGTTCCCTCTTGGGGTTCCTGGCAAGGTCTGAAAATAAAACTGACAAAGACAGACACAGGAGAGAAGCATAAGCATTTATTTAATAAATTTTACTTGACATGGGAACCTTCATCAGGAAATAAAGACCCAAAGAAACAGGGAATTCTGTGTATATTGTCTGCTAAGTCTGATAAAGAAGTGGATAGTTGGAGAGAAACAATTGAACAAAAAGGGTTAGGATTTAAGTCATAAACTTGGGGGATATCAGCAAGGCCTGTTTGTTCAGATTCTCTTCTGTGTCTTTGTGTCTTCAGAGATAATGGCATTCCTTCCCTCTGGGTATAGATAGGACCCCTTTTGGAAGGAGGGTCTTATGATTACCTATTTCAAGGCAAGGTCAGCTGGGCTTCATGGCCCACTTCAGGGGAGAAGGGGCAAGAGAAATTCTGTTTCTATGGCCCACTTCAGTGAATAAAGGGGTCAAGGACATTTAAGTTTCTCTGGTCCACATCAGGAGAGAGGGGGTTGGGAAAAGTTCAGAAAGACCACCCTGCTTTTTCAATTTTCTCAAATTTCTTCAGCTTAAAATACTCCATATGCCAAGGTGCCATACTTTGGGATATTGTGTTCTGAGCCCCAACAAGTATAGTATTTATAATTCTAAGAATGGGAATCTGATTGTTCCCATAAGTCCCTAGTTTTAGGACTTCCATAATAATTCTAAATAGCTCCCTTGAAGAGTAAAACCACCCCACTCAATTTACTGTCTGTATTATGAGTTGGCAAGCTATGGCTTGTGGGTCAAATCCAGCCTGTGGCCTCATTTTGTATAATGCATGGGCAAAGAATAGTTTTTTTTTTTTTTTCATTTTTAAAGAGTTATAAATAAAAGCAAAAACAAAAGCAAGAGAGAATATAAAATAGAGTACTTATGTGGTCCTCCAAACCTAAAATATTTGTCATCTGATCATTTAAAGAAAAAGTTAGCTGACTGAAGCAGCTACATTTTCTGGGGTATATACCCTGGAGTTCATCGTTACATGCCAGGAAACTTTAAGACATGGACATACATGAGGAGTTTAGGAGTGGAGCTTTAATAGGCAGAAGAGAAGAGAAGGAGAAACAACTCTCTCTCTAGAGAGAGAGGTCACGGAGTGGAAAGGATTGGCTAGTGGCATATGTGCCAGATTTTATAGTCAAGGTTGAGGAGAAGGTGGCTGGTTTACATAGGGCTCACAGATTGGTTTGATCAGGTATGATGTTTACATAGCATATGGGGAAGGCTTGTCTCCCCACCCTAATCTTATTCTGCAAATGGGCTTTTGAGTTGATCGACGCCATCTTGTCTGCTTCTTACTGTGCACATGCCTGGCAGAGAAGAGAAGATGGAGCCACCATCTTGAACATGTCTAGTCCCTAGTTCCTGCCAGTTTTCACCCTTGCGAGCTCCTGGCTTGCTTGAATATGCCTGCAGCTTGATTTTACAGGCTGCTTTTCATTAAAAAATGATTTGTAACTGCTTTTTATGAAAAGGAAAAGCTTTACTGAGGACTCCCATACCCTTACTATCTGCCTAAGTAATTTCTTCTTAACTCCTGTATCATTCCCCTCTCTGGAGTGGTAACCCTAACTGTTGTTATGGAGTGCTGGACTATGACTCTTCTGACTACTTCCTGGTGAAAAGGGGAGTTGTGTAGGGAACAGCAGCTAGGGCTCCTCCTGTGGTTGATCTAAGGGTCATTGGAAGAAAAGTGTGTCTATCTGTGGTTCTGTCTGCAACACCATTTGGAGTTTGATTGCAGTCAGCCATTCTGATGGGCTGTAACACTGGTTTGCCTCCACCAGATGTTGCTGAAACGTTAAGATAAAAGTAACATTCTGGCTGGGAGCAGTGGCTCATGCCTGTAATCCCCGGACTTTGGGAGGCTGCGGCAGGTGGATCACCTGAGGTCGGGAGTTCGAGACCAGCCTGACCAACATGAAGAAAACCTGTCTCTACTAAAAATACAAAATTAGCCAGGTGAGGTGGCACATGCCTGTAATCCCAGCTACTCGGGAGGCTAAAGCAGGAGAATTGCTTGAACCCGGGAGGCAGAGGTTGCAGTGAGCCGAGATCAGGCCATTGCACTGCAGCCTGGACAACAAGAGCAAAACTCCATCTCAAAATAAATAAATAAATAAATAAATAAATAAATAAATAAATAATTTTTTTAAAAAGTAACATTCCTTTTAGGATAAGTGGCATTGGATTTGGGTGGCTAGAGTAACTTTAGTGTTAACCTTGGCCAAATCTTTCCTGCAATTATTAATCCCTTCATGACTTCCACATACCATCTAAGACATGCTTAAACCTTCTGTCTTGTCCTAAACAACCCTTTTTTAAACAGCCAACTGTTCTCTTTAGGAAAAGTATTTACCATACAAGGTCTTTTTTATATAAAATCTCTTTTCTTTATAACCTTCTTTGCATAGCCAGGATATGACATATTATCAAACCCAATAAGAAGTTTTAGAAGATTCGGTGGTAGTAAAACTTCTATGCTTCCTTTATGCTAGTAACTATTATCCCTGCTATAAGAATAATAATTAAGCAAAATACTATGGCAATGGAAACTCTCTGTCCAATATTTCAGTTAGAAGGTGCTACCGTGTATAGCTCTACTGCAAATAGCAGAGTGAGTATAGCAATTCCCACAAGGGTGACATAATGGAGTATTTCCATCTAAAATTTTACTTGTCAAGATATAAAATTTCCATTTGGGGGTCTATGAGTTTCCTTGGTTTTATTTTCCCAAATAAACCTCCAGGTAATGGGCACTCAAATCACTTTCATTACCTGTCAGAATTTGCAGGTTAATTTCCCAGAAATAGCATATTGATCCAAATTTTTACATTTTTCATTGCTTTTTATTTCTTCCAAGCTGCAGGAGATCACCATTTGATTCACAGGAATAAGCAGGGATAGTCTACAATGTAGGCAGAAAGCTTAAAAACAATTAACGAGAATAGGATTTAATGGCAAATGTATAATAAGCTTTGGAGCACAATTTCTCTCTCCAGTCCTCATTTTTGGCAAAAACAAATTATGATAGGACCCTGTGGTTTGTAGAATAAACTGTAGTCTTTTACTTGGCCTGATTATTTGCATAAAGTGCAGCAAGAATAATTATTTCTACATAGGCCTTTTTGATTGACTTTGATGGAACTCTGTTCCACAAAGAATCTCACATAAGGCCTCTTTTAGCTGAGCCCTGCCATGGGTTTGTATCCTTAAATACCTGTGAGTTGAGTGATCCTTTTCTCTTAAGGTCATGTGATAAACTTGGAGCTACTATACCTATTAGAAAGTGACATTCTTTACTGACCACAGGTCAGGAACCCTGTGCAGGGACTGTATAGGCAAGGGTATGAGGCCAATTCTCCCCACGGGGCTTTTATCAGCTCTGTGAGTCAAGATTGACTCCTTAAAAGGAATCACAACCTTCCAGTCAAAGTCTTGGTAAAATAACCAGTTATTTCCAATTGTGTCCTGTTGCAAAAGAAAAATGGATTCTTATTGCACTGATGCAAATAACTCTATTGCCATAAGTTAAGAGTACTCACAGATAGTTTCCAAATTCTAGAAGAACGAGACAGAGAGAAACAAACATGCTCCAAGTTTTGTTCACAGGAGTGTACCTTACTAAATTATTAAAGGCCATAAATAGATCAAAATAAGTTTCCTTGATTCTGAAAAACAAACAAGGATCAACAATATTCCAATAATAAAATGAACACGTTGCTTTAGCTTTCTTAGTGCAGTCCATTTAGTCAACTCTTGTTTTGCTTGATATCTGTGAACATTTCAGTTCTTTGCAAGTCCTATATGTTTTTATTCTCTATTCTAATGTTACAATCTTCAAGGCTATTAAAAACCTGCATTTGAGAACACACGTTACATTCCTGTATCTTGATTATAAACCTCTTTTGAGAAGGAACAATGCAAAACAACAATTATCTGCTAATTACAAAATTTCCAGGGTAGTTAAAATTAAAAACATTACTGACAAAGAAGTTTAGTTAACCCCATGGTTTGCAATGACTTTAACCCTAATTACGATTGATAGCATATACTTAGACATTAGATTTTAGAAATCCCATATAATTTTGGTACATATGTTAGTATTACTCATCAAAATATAACCTAAAGAATATTGGACATCATTTTGGCAATCTCATAAAATTTAACATGTCAAATAATCCTCTTTACCACTTCTCTGGATGTTTCATGGGCCATCTGAACCATCCAGAAAGCCAGGCATCAGGAAAGACAATTTTGAAACTTGAAGTTTCAGTGTTGGGACACCTGTTAAATGTTGAAGGTTTAAAACACTTGATGTTATGAAATAGAATTCCAATTGCTATAAATTATATATTTTGCCAAAATGATGACTTGAAAGGCAAAAATCTTTATTAGCCTTTACTATTACATGAAAATCCTGTTCAAAGCCAAATTTTACACTTGAATAAGTTTATTAAAGTTAAACCAACTTTTGATGAAACCTCATAGAAAATTTCATCTAATCATAACCAATTTGACCATGAGGTAAAATCTTTACAAATCCTTTATAAACCCTTTTGCTAAAAGGCAGATTAGCATCTTAAGACAAACTTCTGTGCTTTTATTTCAAAACTCAATTTATAAAAAGACCATGTAATACCCTTTTGAATTTAGTTAATGTTTACACACTTTTTGCAAGACTAAATTTTATAATCTTTCAATAACTTACTTGAAAATTTAGCTTTATCTTATCAAATTTAAGATAATCCCTTATCCCTGGGAAAAATTTACATTTCCATGCTTTCTTATAATCTTTTACTAAAAACCACATATTACTGTTTTTATACACCTTGCATGTAAAACAACCATTTAGTGATCTCAAATACATATTGCATGATTAACTCTTTTTTTGTTGTTGTTTTTGAGGTGGTAGTTTTTATTTTGTCAACAGCAATTTTTTTTAAATTTTTTTTAGTATTTATTGATCATTCTTGGGTGTTTCTTGGAGAGGGGGATTTAGCAGGGTCATAGGACAATAGTGGAGAGAAGGTCAGCAGATAAACATGTGAACAAAGGTCTCTGGTTTTCCTAGGTAGAGGACCCTGCGGCCTTCTGCAGTGTTTGTGTCCCTGGGTACTTGAGATTAGGGAGTGGTGATGACTCTTAACCAGCATGCTGCCTTCAAGCATCTGTTTAACAAAGCACATCTTGCACCGCCCTTAATCAATTTAACCCTGAGTTGACACAGCACATGTTTCAGAGAGCACGGGGTTGGGGGTGAGGTTATAGATTAACAGCATCCCAAGGCAGAAGAATTTTTCTTAGTACAGAACAAAATGGAGTCTCCTATGTCTACTTCTTTCTACACAGACACAATAACAATCTGATCTCTCTTTCTTTTCCCCACATTTCCCCCTTTTCTATTCGACAAAACCGCCATCGTCATCATGGCCCGTTCTCAATGAGCTGTTGGGTACACCTCCCAGATGGGGTGGCGGCCGGACAGAGGGGCTCCTCACTTCCCAGACGTGGCGGCCTGGCAGAGGGGCCCCTCACCCCCCAGAGGCAGCGGCCGGGCAGAGGTGCCTCCCACCTCCCAGACGGGGTGGCTGCTGGGTGCATGGTTAACTCTTAGCAAATTTTACTTTTGGCGAAAAACCTAGTTAGTAAGCGATTTTAATTATGTACAAGGTATGGAGCTAAGGACCCAGACAGAAGTGCAGATAAGGTCTGATTCTTTATAGTATCTAACTCCACGTGTCCCAGGCCTTACCTAGCCTTAAAGCAGACAGTATACAACCTTGGAACATTTAGCAAACCTAGTATCTAAGTTGTATAATTTAGACATTTGCATTTTGACAACACTTGCATTTTACGAATAATCCTTAAGACTATTTTTATTTCATAACTATTTAAGGCACATGAACTAAAAAATATTTGATTTCAGTGCTTACTTTTCTTTAAGCCAATCAGTTAGAGCTCTTTTTATAGACATTACACACAACACATATATATCAACACAAAACCGACAGAAGATTCAGCACTTGCAAGATGTTTCATTTGCCAGTTTCTTAATTGGCTTACTGGCTTCAGCGTGGGGTCCTTGGAGGAAAAGGGCCAGGATAGCGTGCATTTTTAGGGCCTAATAAGCAGACACAACTAACGGCAAAGACAGATCCCCAAAATTAAGGGTGCTACTTTGTACTGGATCTTGGATCTCCAAAAAAAAGGGAGATACTGTGGAAGAAGACAGTGCAGTTTCTACCATGCATTTCATTGCAAGGCAACCCAAAACCAATCACCTTATTTTGTAATCAACCCATCCCCCATGGGAGTCTCATCTCTCAGTGGGGATTGGGGATGTTTCCATAGCTTTCAGGTGGCCATGAGCATGCTTCTCTGATTCAAATGTGCAGAGTTAAGTATCCCTCCATAACTACTATTAGCTATCCTTTAAAGTATATTTCCTACCTAGTTATTACACACCAAAGCTCTCTCATAATGCAAGGTAATTTCTGATACCTGCAAAACATAAAACTGTCAGATAACATGAGGCAAAACAGAACAGAGCCTTTGATTTTGAGAGAAATCTATCCAATTTTAATTCCTGGGGTTTCATGAGGAAAACATAGGTTTTGTTTCTTTGTTTGTTTGTTTTTTCCTCAAAATGGGGTCTGTGTCTCCTGTTTTTTCCAAGGAGTCCCAGGGTACCAGAAGTTATCTTAGGGCCTCTCATGCTTGCATTAAGAGTGGCAAGACAAAAAATGGAGAAAAATAATTCTATCGGCTGAGAAGAAAAAAACCTTTTTCAAGAAAAACAAAATCCAAGAACAGAAAAGCATAAAGGTATTAAGTATACCTATAACTTCAATATCCACTTTTAATTAAGCTGAGCACTCTTTAAGAAAATTCATTTAAATCTCTTGTTACCCTACATTAGCCACACCAAGCCGTTAAAATTTTTGGCTTTTGAACTTTACAAAAAGTAATTTCACAGGTGAAACCCACAATCCCTAATTAGGTTATGACTTAACCATGAGTGTAAAAGATATTTTTAAAGAAAGATAAATAGCTTTTAAAACCATCATTGCAAAACTGTGACTGAGACAGTGAAAGACATCTGACCCAAACAACCCCATTTTGTTTCTAGCCCCCAAGCTGTCCTTGCCCATCTTTGGGTGTAGGGCAAACCAACTTTGGGAGGAGCCTGTTTTACAGTTTATAGTCTAAAACAAAGATGACAACAGCCCCTTCTTAAGATATACTTCCCTTCTGCCTGGGGACCAGACTAAAAAATTAGCCACAGGATTAGAAACTATGGCCCAAAAATCATGCAGCTGGAGGGGACAGAATTTGACCCTCCCTAAACTGCCCTCAAGATCAGTGCTTCAGATATTTTGTAAGCCCTGCCCTTGATGGATCTGCTGGCCCCATCCAGATCAATAAACTAGCTTATCTGATTTTTTTTCCCCCACCCAGGAACTGACTAAATACAAGAAGACAGCCACCATTGCAAAATGGTGGAGACTATAACAAAGTATTGCTATGTGGTTACAGGTCATGTTCCCAAGGACATAAAACAAAATGGAGAACTGCAGCAAAGTTTATTACTGATCATTTTTTTGGCTGGCTTGAATGACAGGCTTATGGGGTCTTGGGCCTCCATTCTAACATAACGTATCCTTTCTTTTGACAGAAAAATACAGAAAGACACAAGAAGCACACCAGATTGGCTACAGCTTAAGACCAACCTCACAAATCCAACCTCACAAATTAAAACTTTACAGAGAATATAAACAATGATGCTTATTATCCATTTTACCAGTTTGAACAGGGAAAGAGAAGCCAAAACTCAACTGGTAAACTTTTACCCTTTTGCCGGCATGTCAGGCATCTGGGTTCCCTTCCCCCAGCTCAACTCTAAGCCAAGCATTTTAAGGTTTGGGAAAATTAACTTTTCAGAGTTTTGAGGAATATTACAAAAAAAGAGATAGGAGCAATTTTAAACTGTAAAAGAAGAAAAAACACCACAGAAAAGTCTGGAGGTTCCAATTAGGATCATCAAGAGGTACTGCTCCTCTTCTTATTGGAATTAGTGTTTCCCCTATTTCTTCACCTTCCCTATTTTCCCTTTTCCATTGTGGCCTAGTATAGGAGACCTATTTCTCATCTCTGAAATTCTCTGATGTTTTCAGAGCTGACTGCTTCTCAGCTGTAGTTAGGATTTGGCTTAGGAGCAGCATAACATTCCTCCATGAGAGGTTAAATACCTGAGTTAAATTTTGGAAGGCTTCTATATACCTATCAGGGTCTCAGAAAATCAGCCAAGTCTCCCTCTACTTGCCTAAGGTCCTGCAATGTAAGGGAACATGAATCCTAGTGGCATTACCTCCACTGGGCATTTCTTGTAGGAGTAAAAGTGAAGGTGAGGAGTAGGAAATTTTGGATATGGTGGAGGTGGAAGAACTTGTGGTGTGGTTGGAGATGGCCCCAGATAAGGGGGACTAGAAGGGCTATGACATCCAATAGCTGCCTCAGATGGTTCCCCCAGAAGTTGCTTTTCTAGTCTTGGAGAATCATTCTGTTTGGGCCTGCCTTATATGATTGCTATGAGGGTTGATTTTGTAACACCTGCAAAGGTCTAGTAAGAAGGCCATGGCCCTGTGCAAAAGAAAATGAGCAACTTTTTCTTCAAAGTCTCAGGGTCAGTGGAGTCTCTGTGCTTCAGAATGCACTCCAGAGGAGTACAGGTGAAATATGATAAACAAAAGTGAGAAAAAGTCATCCCTTTAGTCTCCTTCCTTTTGGTGTGACCCAGGGTGGAGAGGAAGACAGTGGAGGTGTCCCCTCTGCTGTTTTTCCCTCCATGGTTCCTGGGTCCCAGCACCTTGTTGAATGTGCTGCCCATGGTTGAAGGCATGATCCCCAGCAATGGAACCAGAGGAATTAAGAGATTGGGGTTAGTCATGTTCACCCATGTGGCTCTAGTCCTCTGCCTGTGACTTCCCTTTGACTTCCTAGACTTGTGTGACCTGCCTGTCTCCCCGAAAAGTGGATCTCAGGGGAGACTATGTGCCTGTTGCATTTGGGCAACTGTTGTACTTCCCTCCTTAATGGAGAAAGTGTGCTGATCTGAGCTCTATATCCTTCTATTACGGCCTGTGCAAAAGTGTTTACCCTTAGAGAATGGTTTCAGTTAACTTCCTAAATTAAAATCCCCTTATTAATTAAGTACCATTCTAATTGGAAGCAGAATAGGTGCCTTAAAAGAATGTAGGGACTGAATGGCCATTTTCCTACTGATGGGACCATACTGAGACTAAATTTTGGCTTTGGAGGATATTTTACTCCTAATTGTTGAAGGCAGAATTTTCCCATTTACAGAAGCAGCATAAAGCCTTATCTCTAGTAGAGGGGCCCAAAAAGGGAGAACTGGGAAGTTAGGGTGTTTCACTAAAAGACCAACAATGTGTCTCATGGAAAGGATCCCTATTCCACTAGGTGTCGCTGTTGACCTTGATATGCCATGTGCTCTCCAGACCAAGGTCAGAGAGTGACCTGAAAGTGCCATGTGCTCTCCAGACCAAGGGCAGAGAGTGATGCTCACTGTGTGGGGGACCCTCTGTTCCTAGAAAATAAAAAAGACATCTTCCCTTGAGCTATATCCCTGGTTACTACAAAATTCCCTGATTTTCCCAAACAAGATTACTTCCCTGAACTGTAAAACTTCCCAAACATTGCACACACAGAGAGGATAAGAGGTATGACTCTCACGGACAGAAAAGGAGGAAATTGCAATAGAAAATCCAGAAGACTTTGGATAACACCAGGGGGTAGCCCCAGCCAGAAATCCTGTTGCCCCAGGACTTCTTTCATCCCCACATGATGGTTAAGTCCTCTGTGAAAGGAAGCTGGTTCAAACACGGCCAACATGCCCAGCAACCAGTGGGTGCTGGGGGACTCTCCATGTTCTCTCCAGTAAGCCTGTCCCCCAAGTCTTGTAAGGCTGACAGCCACTCTAATAAATGGCTGAAGGGGGCACAGTATTTGGTTTGATTTGGTACTAAAATGGAGACTGAGATCCTTAAAATGAAAGGATCTAGTTGGAGTCTGCTCCTCTATTCACTATTTTGATATGTATTATACCTTGTTATCTCGGACGAGCCCCATTATGAAGCAGCTACATTGTCTGGGATTTGTTGTCATGCAAGAGGAAAATTTAGGACATGGACACACATGGGAGTTTAGGAGCAGAGGTTTCATAGACAGAATAGAAGAGAAAGACAAACAGCTCTCTCTATAGAGACAGGGGTCTCTGAGAGGAAAGGACTGGTTGGTGGCGAATGTGCCAGATTTTATAGTCAAGTTTGAGAAGGCAGTGTCTGATTTAGTGTCTGAGGCTTACAGATTGGTTCAAACAGGTATGACGTTTATATAGTGCATGGGGAAGGCTGGTAGCCCCACCCTAATTTTATGCAAATGGGCTTTCAAGTTGATCTGTGCCATCTTGTCTGCATCTTACTGGACATTTTGGCTGGCAGAGAAGGGAAGATGGAGCTGCCATCTTGAATATGTCTAGTCCCTAGTTCCTGCCTGCATTCACCCATGCAAGCTCCCAGCTTGCTTATATATGTCTGTAGCTTGACTTTACAGGTTGCTCTTTGTCAGAAAATGATTTGAGGTTGCTTTTCATTAAAAAGAGGAGCCTTACCAATGACTCCTATACCCTTATTATCTGCCTAAGTAATTTCTTCTTAACTCCTGTATCACAACCACTAATATCCATTAACATGATTTTATCATTTCGTTGTCATTACTAGTATAACTTCACAATTCCAGGAGACTCTTGGAAAATAAATTGTAGATAACTTTATTATTCATTATAACAACTTCCAACTTCCAGAATGACTAATCAGCCCTTTAATAAAGAATGAACACAGGCAGTTTGCATCTTAATACTCTTGAACTTCTCGCTTCAAAATCTTCCTTTGGCTCTGTCTTCAAATCCTAAACTATTTTATCATGATTCCTGCCCAATACTAATCTTTTCCCCAATTCCCACTGCCCTAACTCAAACTTTAGTATCTCAATAGATAGACTTTATTCTTCCTCCTCTGATAGGAAGACTATCAGATTCCATTGAAGCAGTAGTCTCTCTTAATGCAATAAACAATAAACTTTCCTTTGTCTTAGCAACATGCTTTTCAGATGACATTTGGGAAAGTTTTAAAGAAAAGATAACTCCGACACTTGTTAAAAGAGTGAGGAAGACTATTCGAGACCATTGTAATAGGTGTCAAAGCCATTAGAATAGTGAGGAGAGATCAGAATCAACTTCAAATACAGCAAAAACAGCTGGGGACTTGCAGCCAATGAGAACAGTGAAAGGATCAGGGGTGTAAAATTACTAAGAGGAGACATCAAGTGTAGAGGAGATTCTTGCTAAACCTACTCAATGAGATTCTTGATAAAGGCAGGCCAGGGTCACCAAGTACAAGGGTAGACGATGAAGAATCCCATCAGACATCATCAAGAGTGATCAGATATCAAGGGTGGGGGATTCTTACTAGACTGACTTAACAGGATTCTTGCTAAGACTGAACAATGCAGACCCTGTCAGGATGGGGATCAACATGAAGGCCTTGTTGGGAAGAGGGCTCAGAGGAACCTAACTGAAGTTTGGTCATGGAAACTGTCTTTGTCATGAGGTAGCATTCTCTAGCTACTCTCTACAAAACTATTCTGCTTTATTTCATGTTGTGGAAAGTCAGGGACCTTGAATGGAGGGACCAACTGGAGCCGCAGCAGAGGAACATAAATTGTGAAGATTTCATGGACATTTACCAGTTCCCAAGTAATACTTTCATAATTTCTTATGCCTGCCTTACTTTAATCTCTTAATCCTGTTATCTTCATAAGCTAGGATGTATGTCACCTCAGGACTACTGTGATAATTGTGTTAACTGTACAAATTGATTGTAAAACATGTGTGTTTGAACAATATGAAATCAGTGCACCTTGAAAAAGAACAGAATAACAGCGATTTTCAGGGAACAAGGGAAGACAACCATAAGGTCTGAATGCCTGTGGAGTTGGGCAAAATAGAGCCATATTTTTCTTCTTGCAGAGAGCCTATAAAAGGACGTGCAAATAGGGAAGATATCGCTAAATTCTTTTCCAAGCAAGGAATATTAATAATTAATACCCTGGAGAATGAATGCATTCCTGGGGGGAGGTCTATAAATGGCCACTCTGGGAGTGTTTGTCTTATGCTGTTGAGATAAGGACTGAAATATGCCCTGGTCTCCTGCAGTACTCTCAGGCTAACTAGGGTAGGGAAAAACCCCTCCTTGGTAAATTTGAGGTCAGATTGTTTCTCTGCTCTCATACCCTGTTTTCTGTTGTTTAAGATGTTTATCAAGAAAATACATGCACTGCTGAACATAGACCCTTATCAGTAATTTTGCTTTTGCTCTTTGCCTTGTGATCTTTGCCCTTTGCCTTGTGACCTTGTTGGACCCTTCTCAGGAGTTTTTGATTTTGCCCTTGTCCTGTTTCCTCAGAAGCATGTGTTCTTTGTTCTCCTTTTTGCCCTTTGAAGCATGTGATCTTTGTTCTCCTTTTTGCCCTGTGAAGCATTGATCTTTGTGACCTACTCCCTGTTCTTGCACCCCTTGCCCTTTTGAAATCCTTAATAAAACTTGCTGGCTTTAAGGCTCAGGTGGGCCTCATGGTCCTACTGATATGTGATGTCACCCCTGGCTGCCCAGCTGTAAAATTCCTCTCTTTGTACTCTTTCTTTTTATTTCTCAGCCGGCCAACACTTACGGAAAATAGAAAGAACCTACGTTGAAATATTGGGGGTGGGTTCCCCTGATACTTTCCTTTACTGTGGATAACCTATCTTAAATTATCTTATTATCTTTAGTTACTAAGTTACTTTTAAATTTTGTGTCTCTGCTGCCAGAATTTAATCTCTTTATTTTGTATTTGTTAAAGATGGGGTCTCACTCTAATCTAGGCTGGAGTACAGTGGTGCCATCACAGCTCACTGCAGCCTCAACCTCCCAGGGTTCAAGTGATTCTCCCATCTCAGCCTTCTGAGTACCAGGAACTGCAGGTGCACACCACCACCCCTGGCTGATTTTTGCAAATATGGGGTTTCATCATATTGCCCAGGCTGGTCTCAAATTCCCAGGCTCAAATGATCCTCCTGACTCAGCCTCCCAAAGTGCTGAGATCATAGGCTTGAGCCACTGCCCCTGTCCTACACTCTTTAAGAGGAAAGATTGTGTTGCTTTTGTTTGCTGCTGTCTTCCCAGATCCCTAGATGAAATCTCATTACATTGTAGTCACTCAAATATTTAGTGAATGAATGTTTGAATTGCTTTGAACAGGGCTGTAAGATGTCACTAATGAAAATAAGTCTTATCCAGTTCTAAGCATTCTTGCTCACTGCTGTGTTACCTTTATTACTCTAGTTCTTGATACCATCTGCAATGGTACCTCACACTGAAGTTTGCTAAGCAGCAACCATTTGTATTTCCTAATCACATTCTCAGCTTTTGCTCTTAAAGCAAGGTTATCATGTCAGGGTTGCTGGATCCAGGAGACTTTCCAACCTCAAGCAGATACAGGAATCAGCACCAAGTATCTTCAGTAAAACCTTTCAGTTCTCATGAAAAGCCTGTGTTATCAGGATGCTTTTCCATTTCTGTTCTTTACAGTTCCCCTTGGACAGTCTTGGTCCTTTCCTACCAGCAGATCTCAATTAGGAGGCTTTCTGCAGATAGATGAGATTTGGTGCAGAATTAAATCTCAAAAGGGAAGAGGTCAGATTCTCCATCTTTTTCTTCCAGGATGGTCTTTTGGCAAATTTATCCAGTGACCAGTTTTGCATACCAGGATATATTTGGAAAAGATGTCTTTAGGTCACAAAAGGTCTTCCTGCTTATCCTCCAAGGTTAAGCTTGGGTGACTACTAAACTAATATTTACATAACCAAAGGGGGTTACTCAAAGGCTGCTCTTTAAACAAAGATTTGTTCAAAGTAAATTTTTGTATTTCTCTAAGCCTAGGTGGTATACCTTGTGATATGTGACACATCAAGATTCCTCTTCAGGAATGAAAAACTAGACGGCAGTTGCTGGGAAGTTGCAGGAGACCAGCTATCAGGAGTTATCTCCCTTTGGGCTTACATCTGCTGAAGAGAGCTGAGGTCATATCCCTTCCAGGGGAATTGCCCACATTAATGACTGAACTGTGTGGGAATAGAAAGACCTGGCTGTCTTACAGTGACTTGGAATATCTCTGAATTTTCATTCCAGCTTCAGATTATCTGTAGTATTGACTAGCACTCCCACAAAAACTACATGGCAGTTCAACTTCCCCAAACAATTCTATTCCCCATTCATTCCTTCCATGGCTATTAACCCTAAGGGCACCTCATGCATGGGAACACAACATGACCACTTGAAAGGATAATTATTTTTATTGTTAAAAAACCAACACTATTATAATGAAAAATAATCTGTGACATTTAGTTATACTTTGAAAATAAAGACACTAAAGTTTGAATAGTAGGCTAAACAATGGCTAAATTTCTATTACAATAAAATGAAAGTAAAAATGAAACTTAAAAAGATAGTTAAACAATAGAAATGACTATAGAGTGATTGAAATTGAGATTAAAATGTACCAGGGAAAAAGGAAGGTAACTTGCCTGAAATTTTGCCGACAGTGCTGACCGGTGATCCAAATAGTAATTCACATTTGCATTTGCTTTACAATTTCTAAAGAATTTTTACATACACCAACCTCTTTTGACATCTCAACAGATCTTGGGGGAGGAAGGTAGGTAAAAAATATTTGCTTTGTAAGAATTAGTAAACATGCTGAAATATACTCTCTCCCCCCACAATGTAAGATAAATCTTAGATCACTCATTATAGGGGATTTGTGAGAATAAAGTAAAATGTTATTTGAAAGTATTTAACATGTTCCTCAAATGTAGCAAATGACTGATCAATGTTAGCAATCACCATCATCACCATCATCTTCCCTCCAGCTCCTTATAACACCCTTCCTGAAGGTACAAGATAGAACTTTGTAGTCCACTAGTGAGTTTCATATCTTACCAATGTTGGAACTAAGACTCTAGGAAGGTTAAAAACCCTACTCAAGACAAATGGGATAGTAAGAGTCACAGGTAAGAGTACAACCCTGGTCTCCTGAGTTCCTGTTCAGAAAGTTAGGACTTTCAAAATGTGCTGGAGTTATGCATTAAATCTCAGAGAATCTGGTTTCTTCCATCTGCTAGCTACCAAAATCTGAGAAACTATGTGAAATAAAATGATTTTAGTGTAAATGTAATAGATTTGTGCTCATGGCAAGTCAATACATGGTAACAAGTTGCAGAAGAGAAAGAAATTTAATAATAGGGCTGTTGAATGAGGAGACAGGAGGAAACCTCACATCAGTCTCCTTGGGGGAGCTTGGAGTTAGGGTTCTTAAGGGTTTTGGAATGGACTAAAGTGTGGAGATTGTTGATTTGTCAAGAGGCTATACTGAAGTCGTGAGACAGGGAGACAAAGAAACACAATTCTCATGCTGATTTGGTTTCTCTAAAGGGGTCTTCAAATTGGTTGGTGTCAGCTATTCTACTGGAAGTCAGGATCTGCTTAAGCAACTCTTAAACCAAAGCCTTATGATCCTAACATGAGAAATCCTATCTGTAGAAGCAATGGAGATGCAAATGATCAGTAAATAGTGTTAGGTGACTTTTGGTTACAAGGAAGTGGGTCGAAGGACTGCTTAATTATAATTATATTCCTGTCCAGAATTCTTATTAACCTTGTGAGGGTGGCTTCATTAGTTAGAATGTAAGACAAAATCTACAAGAAAATTTTGCTCCCTGGATATTCAATCCAACCTATCCCATAACAGGATTAAAAGTAAACACCAGGCATTATACCTTCAACAGGGATGTGATGGACTTAGATTATGAAGTTGTGTGATTGGTTAGGTCTATGATTGAATCATAAATAAGGTCATCAATGTGGGTTAATGTGACTTATTGACTCAACACCCTCAGACACCCCCCTGTCCACACTCATGTGTAAACCCTCTCCATCTCCCCCTTGCTCTCCCTCCTCTGCTCTTATGAAAGAAAAATGACGTATTGCATTTGTTTCCTTAATGCTCTGGAGATTCTGCTCAGTGGATTACTTTTGTTTACTTATCTATTTTTTTTTAAATGGAGGTTAATTGAGGAGATTTACACAGGCTTGTAGGGTGCTTTGGGTACTGGCAAGCTATTAGCTTCTAAGATCCTTTAGTCCTGACACTGAGTCACTCTGCTTTAACAACACAAAATCTGAAGTGAAGTGAAGTGTTTGCAAAGAGTCTCTCTTATGTTACTCAAAATATGTATCTTCTCCCTTAACACTGCCTAAGCAAACTCAAACTTGCCAATTAGCAGGTTCTTGCTGCTGAATTCACCCTTGCATTTCCTAAGTTGTTATTTTTAACTTAGGAGATAAAACTTCTATGTCTCCATTTCTAAATAGAGAATACTAAGGGCAAAGGTGAAGAGCTTCTAAGATGTTTTCTAACGTTATATCTGTTACAAAACAAAAGTAACAACATAGTTCATAATGAGTAAGAAACTTTTTATTTAAAAAAAAAAAGAGAAAAAAAAAGCAACACCAAATATCTCTGAACCCAATTGCCTGAAAAAATGCAGATGTTTTGCTAGAGTTTCTACTGTGGTCTTGCTCAGTGGTTGAAAAGAATGCTGAACTTAATAAAACTGTGGTACACATGGAACCTGCATTTCTCTTCTTGTTTTGTAATAATAGATGGTCAGATTAAGTAGGATAAAAGAAAAGATATAGAAAGTTCTTAGGCAGGTATAGTATGCTTCTAAGCAAGAACCGCTGAATATTAGAACCTAAAATATGGAAGATAGTACTTGGAAATTATTATAATACCTTCATTCCTTTCTTCTCATTTAGTGTTTCAGAAATATTAGAGACAGCAGATGGGGGAGTTGTACTTATTCTTGATGAAATGGTCTTTGCAAGGTCTCAGCATTGATGGTGAAGAACAGGAATTGAAACCAGAGGGGATTCACAAGGTGAATCTGTGTGATGCTCTTCAGCATTTCTGAATAATCTATTTTTTGTTGATGAAACCAACTTTTTCATTTATGTTAATCCCCACTCCCACCTCCAATCCTGAGACCCTGAGATGTCTCTTGGTAATCCTCTCATAGGCAAGTCTTAAATTTTAAAGTTTCTCACAAAAACAACAATAATAACAATAAAGATCAAATAGGTATGTTCGCATTTTATAGAAAAATTAAGTATTTATTCTCGAGGCCAATAATTTTATAGTATTTAGTCCTAAAATCAATTTTGGAGACAAATTGTAAGAACTGCTAAGGCAAATTGCTAAAATGGAACACTTCCATAAGTGTCTGTATCGAACTGGCCACAGGAAAGGCAAGTCTGCAAGCACAATTTTCCTTCCTCTCACATCTCTGCTCAGAATTAGAATTTCTTCTTTGTCATACTAACAAGGACAGATTTTGAACCTTCTGTTGAAAAGAGACCTCATGGCTGACATAAACTCAGGATCTATCAAAAGCAAGGACAGGAAAGCATAGAGGTTTTTTATGTGTTTTTTACTTGACTTTGTTTTGTTTGCAATTTTTCAAAAAAAATCCCATTTTATGAAAATTTTTAAGTAGAAGAGAAATTAAAAAGACAGTAGGGCAAATATACACATACTTTCTACTTAGGTTTTAAAATTAATCTTTTATTCTAATTGTTTTATTTAATACTACCCACCAGTCCTTCTTCTAATTATCCATCAATCCATCTCATTTCTTTGATGCATTTCATACTATAGAATCAAAGTATAGAATTGTGTCCAGAGTTTGTTCCTTCCAGTGGGTTCGTGGTCTCGCTGACTTCAAGAATGAAGCTGCGGAACTTCGTGGCGAGTGTTACAGCTCTTAAAGGTGGTTTGTCCGGAGTTTGTTCCTTCAGATGTGTCCAGAGTTTCTTTCTTCTGGTTGGTTTGTGGTCTTGCTGAGTTCTCGAATGAAGCCGCCAGCCAGGCACGGTGGCTCATGCCTGTAATCCCAGCACTTTGGGAGGCTGAGGCGGGTGGATCACGAGGTCAGGAGATCCAGACCATCCTGGCTAACACGGTGAAACCCCGTCTCTACTAAAAAATACAAAAAATTAGCCAGGCATGGTGGCAGGAGCCTGTAGTCCCAGCTACGAGGGAAGCTGAGGCAGGAGAATGGCGTGAACCCGGGAGGCAGAGCTTGCAGTGAGCTGAGATCACGCCACTGCACGCACTCCAGCTTAGGTGACAGAGCGAGACTCCGTCTCAAAAAAAAAAAAAAAAAAAAGAAAGAAAAAAAAGAATGAAGCCACAGAACTTTGCGGTGAGTGTTACAGCTCTCAAAGATGGCATGGACCCAAAGAGTGAGCAGCAGCAAGATTTATTGTGAAGAGTGAAAGCACAAAGCTTCCACAGGGTGGAAGGTGACCCAAGTGGGTTGCCCCTGCTGGCTGGGGTGGCCAGCTTTTATTCCCTTACTTGTCCCCACCTATGTCCTGCTGATTGGTCCATTTTACAGAGTGCTGGTTGGTCCATTTTACAAACCTCTAGCTAGCTACAGAGCACTGATTGGTGCATTTTACAATCTTCTTCTAAAACAGAAGAGTTCTCCAAATCCCCACTCCACGCAGGAAGTCCAGCTGGCTTCACCTCTCAGAATCAACTACTTTTTACCACAAACCACTTCAGCACACGTTATCAGTTTGCTTGTTTTGTTAACTTACAATTCTGTTTGCAAGAAAGCTTTATAAAGAATCCAGCATGTAAGATCCACAAAAGGTGTCTCAATTTCAGACTTTTATAATTACCCATTTATTACCTCCATTATATTTAATATTATAATTTATATAAAGTGTTATTCATATGAATTAAATATTTAAATATTACAATCACTTAATTTTATAACATTAAATATTATAATTCAATATTTTTATAATAATATACAGTTTCAAATTAGACCACACACCATTTCATAAAACCAAACTATTACACCATACATCATATTGGAAAAGCTTGAACTTTTTATTTTAAAGCAAGCAGTATATAATAGAATTACATTAATAACTAAAGTTTCTTGCTCCTGCCCCCATTACTAGCCTTACTGATTTTGGCTGTTTCTGTTTTCACTTCTATAGTTGATGGTCACCTTAAATCAAAATAACTTAAATAACAATAATAACTTCATTTCTGGATGCACCAAATTTAGACCACACAGCTCTATTGTAACAGATAGGAATTCTTACCTATTTTTTCTCTTTGCTCTGCCCGATTTTAAAAAATATGTCCAATAGCTAGGTAAGGTGGTACATGCCTGTAGTCTCAGCTTCTCAGGATGCTGAGGCAGGAGGATTCCTTAAGCCCAGGAGTCCAAGACTAGCTTAGGCAATGGTGAGACCAAGACCCTGTCTCACAAAAAAAAAACCCCAAAAAAAACCAGGTTTAGTTTTAGTGTTTAATTTTACTTATAGTTATGTGTACAAATATAAATGATATTCCTGAACTCCTGTTTCTTGTTCTACCAACTTTAGGAAGTGCTTCTTAGCATCTCAGTATCATAGGAGAAAGACAGTGGTCTTAAAACCACCCTTTACCTCTTGTCACTTTTCTGCAATAGCAACAGACTCAAGAAGATTAAATAGATTTGGATATTTTGCAGACTTTTTCTTGCTCCCAGTGTCTGGTTTCTACTTGCTGTTGGTGCCCTCTCCAATCTCAGAGGCATGATCAGGGCTGCATGCTCCAGGAACTGGCAAGAGTAGGCAAGGGGGAGCCCCGCCCCTTCTGAATTGGTTGGGCAGGAGCTCCCTGGTTGCAACTGCAGGCACCCATCCTAGGTGGGGACCCAGACATCTCTGTGCTCTCGGGGCCCAGGAAGTTTCCCTTGCTCTCCACAGGCTCAGAAGTGCCTGCTCCCACTGCCGGGCCTTTCCCTGTCCCCAGGACCTGCTCTGATTGTGGAGCAAGTTTGGGGCTGTGCCTGGGTACTGTCGTAGTGGGCATGCTCAGGGCAGTGGTGACACACCAGCTTCCTGCCACCTCCGGACTTTGACCCCTGGGAGCATGGGAGAGAAGCCGAGGGGGTGCAGCCTGTAGGCTCCCCTTGTCACAAACAGCCTGGGTGCCATGAAGCTGTGGGAAGAAGACTGGCTCCTAGGTGGAAGGGGGCTGCCGTGGTGAAGCCCCACCTTCAGGCCAGGGAGGGCCTGAAGCCTGGGGGCTGGGCTTCCAGTCCTGCCTACCAGAGGAGGAACTCATGGTGCTTTATCCTTGGCCCACTCATGTTTGCTCATGGACTAATCAGCATGTACTTCCCTCTGAAGGAAGAAAATCCCAGGACTCAGCCAGGGAAAAGCAGACTTCTCCAGGGCTTCCTTTCTGCTGAAAGCTGCAGACGGTTGGGTTGACCAGCTGCAGAGAGGAGCTACCCTCTCTTCTGAAAGCTAAACACTCTGCAGGATGACCTGCCTGGAGGGGAGGCCCCCACTCCAGGGTCTCCTCTCTGCTGAGAGCTGAACACTCAAACGGACAACCTGCCTATGGAGAGGAGCTACCCACTACCCACTGCGGGCCTCCTCTGAGCTGTTGTAACTCTCAATAAAGCTCCTTTTTGTCTTGCTCACTCTCCACTTGTCTGCATACCTCATTCTTCCTGAACGAAGGATAAGAACTCAGACAAAGGCACCATTGGCCACAGAGGTTTCTGGCCAGAAAAGCAACACCCCAAAGACCTCATAACAATACTATCCACTATATTACTTTCCATATCAAATGTATACACAAGAGTATAATTTTTCCAAATTTATAAAATAATTTATTGATACATATATATGAGAGATAGATACATGCATTAATATAATTTATATGTACATTCAGAACTTGTTTTAAGTATGAAAAACAGCATAATGTGGTAGGGAAACAAGCAGCAGTCAGAAGTCTTGTAAGGTTGCTGATTAGCTAAAGAAAGAATAATCCCATAGATTCTTGGTTGGAATGGACTCCTGTTACAAAAGACAGATTAACAAGAAAAAAAACCCAAAAGAAGTCAATTAACACATATATTTCATATATACATGGGAGAGACCTAGGGAACGAGAAGTTCTCAAAGAGGTGACTTTGAATTTCAGCTTATTTATACAGCATCTTCAACAAAGAGCAGTAAATGGTTAGAGAAATGACAAGAAAAAAGAAAAAGGACTTCGAGTCTCTGAGGGTGGAACTTGGGGGAAGGCAAATAACTGGCAGATAAAAGCTGGTTAGTAAATCTGGTTAATGTAGCTTCCTCTGGTATAATCTCCACATGATAGGGGTCTAAAGTTGTTAACATTTATTCTCCCTGGTAGAGGGGAGGCAGGAATTTTTTTTTTTGAAAATAAATTTATATTCTGATTTTAAGTAGTTAGAGGGAAGGCAGAGAGCTTCCAGCATCTGCATCTTCTTAATTGTTTTCAGCTCAAGAACATTTTGCGGTGGCATATTATGGTCTCCCATAGTTATGCATTTATAAGATGCAATTTTATATTCGTGCAATTTAGCTCCCCAATTTGAGATGGATGTTGCATTAAATTCATATAAGGTTCTTTTGATATGTAAGTCAAAAGAATTATTAAATGAAACAAAACACCATAGTGTAATTAATAATTAATAAAGTATTATTCATTATCTACTATATTAATGACCTTTAGCTAGGAATATCTGGGAATGCAAATATATGTATGTACATACATAAGAATCCATGCCCTCAAGAAATTATTAATACTATTTATTGGATATGTAGAAAATGAAACAGAGTACAAAGATACCAATTAGCCATAAGATTTTTTTTTCTTTTCTTTCTCTTTCTTGTTTTCTTTCTTCCTTTCTTCTGTGGAAATAAATGAAGATCAACCAAATGAGAACAAACAAAGGCTATGTATTCTGAGCTTGCTGTAGCTAAGGAAGTCAGTCACTATCACTTGCATTTTGGCAGATACTCAAAGGCAGGCAGAGGAATGGGGAAGCTTCATAGTGGAAAGGAGGGAAGGCTTCAGGTGTGCCCATATTGGAGGCTGTTGGCATGGGAAGCCTGTGGGTGGGCTGACTAGATAAAAGGCATCCTATGGGATTAGTTAGGGGGGAATATTTGGCTTTTCCTGGTTGATCCTAAATTTGAAGTAGGGATAAAAATTGAGGGAGGGGTCAGCTATTAATCAAGCCCAGGCCATTTTGGGTCTGTTGTTCTGGAAGTTATTGTTTAGCTTCCTGGATCGTTATTAGAGATAGCACTTTGGATTCCTACAAGTCTGACCTGTAGCAGGCTGGCTTCTTGGGCTGGTTGTTGTAGGTATGGGGGTGAGTTTTCTTAGCAGATTTCTGACTTCTGTAGGTTGTGGGTGAAAATTCTATTTTCATGTATGATCTGGCCATTGTCTATCTATTTGGCCTCTCACTTCCTTTCTTTCTCCTGCATGCTTACTAGCTTTTTCTTTCCTTCTTTCATTCCTTCCTTTTTTCTTTCTCTCTTTCTTTCTTTCTCTCTCCCTTTCTTTCCTTCCTCCCTCCCTCCTTTTTCTTTTCTTTCTTTCTCTCTCTCAGACTTTTTTCTTTTCTTCCCTCCATCCTCTCTTTCTTTGCTCCCACTCTCCCTTTCTCTCTTCCTTCCTCCCTCCCTTCTTTTCTCCCTCCCTCCCTTCCTTCCTTCTTTCCTTTCTTCCTTCCTTCCTGTTTTTGTTTGTTTTAGTGTTTTGCCCCTGCGAAGGGAAGGAAAAGCCAAAAGAACAGAGTGAAGTGAAGATAATGGGAAGAGAAGAATGTTGCGATGGGATCAGTCTGGGACTTGCGTGTTATCAAAGTACCCCGAAGGGAGGTAAATGAAGGACATTTGATAGTAAATGTTGAGAAGGAGGAGGTTGAATGTCTACAATGAAGCTGTACACATGCTGCATTGTAAACCCCATACGTGTTCCCCTCTCCCCTTCTCCCTCATGCTGCAGTTTCCAACTACCACACCCAGATGACAGAAGTAAAAAGCACAGCTGTGAACACTCTGTGTATTTGTATATGTGTATGTATCTGTGTATGTGTTTGTGTGTTTTGTTTTGTCAAAAATGAGCAAGTAGTTAACAAGAGCACACTCAGATGTCTCAGTATTTTAGGTAGATTAATCTTGAGTTAACATTCTCCTTCATGCCTGACACATACAAAGCAAAGTTCGTTGTTGACCAAAGAGAAATATAAAGGGAAAGACAAGGTTGTTTGTTTTGAAAACCTCAGCATTTCCCACTGTAGCTAAAATGAGTAAGCAGGTAACTGTAGCAGATGACCTCGGCCTCACCTCCCTCATTCTCATTTCCAGCGAGTTGTCATTTTCAGAAGTGCCCCTTTGAGTGATGAAAGCACTTTCTGTGAACATGTGAATTTGCCCTTTAATGCAGCTATGACCAAGTAGTTACAGGTCATGCTCTCTTGGCTGTAATTTGCTCTGTTTTATAGTTCTCAGTCCTGTGTGGCTCCCCCTACTCAACATTCTTTCCCTGCCCTAGCTTGAGAGATCAATTTCAGATTTACGGTAAAAGGCAACAATACTTTTTATAAAAAACAAAACAAAACAAAACAGTGAAGGCCTAGAAAGTTTCAAGTCTCCCCACAAATTCAGTTACAACTTTTGGAAAGGAAAAAGCAAAAAAAAAAATTACTAAAACCCAATTAGAGGCATGTGATCCACAGATCATAGGCAGGAGACACTGTTCCTGGCCCTATCTCATGCCTGCAATCCCAGCACTTTGGGAAGCCAAGGTGGGAGGATCACTTGAGCCCAGGAGTTCAAAACCAGCCTGGACAACATAGTGGGACCCTATTTGTACAAAAGTTTTAAAATTAGATGGGCATGATGGTGTGTGCCTGTGGTCCCAGCTATTCAGGAAGGTGAAGTGGGAGGATTGCTTAAGCCTAGGAGTTAGAGGCTGCAGTGAACCATGATTGCACCACTGCACTCTGGCCTGGGTGACAGAGAGACACCTTTTCTCAAAATAAAATAAAGTAAAATAAAATAAACGAAACAAAGCACAGATGGTCAATTTTGACCTTATCTAAATGACTTTTCTCTTTTCACTGCAAGGCAGAAAAGTGATGATTCCTCCAATATTTTGGAGTTGTATATTGATCAGTGTTTGATTTCTAAATTACACACTGCTCTTCTAAAATTGGTGCCTGTTTCACTTATGTGAATTTAAACTCACTTATTAGGAGATTTTATTGGAGGAGAGCGCAGTCATTCCTTCGTATTCATGGGTGTGCATCCATGGATTCAACCAAGAGTGGATTGAAAAAGAAAAAAAAATAGATAGTTGCATTTGGACTTAATATGTACAGATATTGTTTCTTATCATTACCCCTAAACAATACAGTGCAACATCTATTTAGCTAGCATTTACATTGTATTAGGTATTATAAGTAATCTAGGGATGATTTAAAGTATATGAAAGGATGTGCATAAGTTATATGTAAATATTACACTATTTTATATCAGGGACTTGTGCATTCGTGGATTTTGGTATCCAAGGGGAGTCCTAGAACCAATCCTCTACAAATACTGAGGGACAACAGTATACCAATATATAGTCAGGTAAGAGCACTGGGGTCACACAATACGGTTTTAAATCCCTGCTCTACCACTTACTAACCGTGTCATCCTGAAAAAGTTATTTAATTTATCTGCACCACAGTTTCCTTCATCAGTGAAATGGAATAGAAACTGTGCCTAGCTCATAATTTTCCTATAGGGTTACATGAAATTATCTGTAGAAAGTTCTTAGCCCAATGCCTTTCTAGCTCATAGCAAATTATCAATTAATATTTAAAGTAATAATGGAAGCCAACTGGGGGATGGGTAATCACTCCTTCAAGGAATGTGGTGTTCAAGAAGCAGGTGTCACGAGAGAGACTCTCATTCAATAGGAATTGTATTTATTTTGAATTTTCTGATATCGATATTTTTAAAAGCATTCATTTCTTAATTTATTACTCTTGCCAGAATTTAATATGCTTAAACATATTAAATTTTAAACAATACCCATGCCTAGGGTATTATGGATATTATCTATATTTTCTGTCTTTTCCCCTGGGGTTCATTATGATATTAACTATTATTTTATTTCATTTTGTGACTCTTATACAGTCTTTAAGCTAAAGATTATTACGAAGATTGAATGATGATTAAAAATATTCATTAAAATCATGTTTATCTTCCTCTGGTCATATATTACCATATGTCTCCTTTGGTAGAGTGCTCCCTAATTTATTAAAATCATTATTGTGAGTGTAGATTGTCCTATTAAAGGACCACTCTTGGTCAATATTATTCAGTTATTCAGTAAAGTGTTTCAAAAGGCCTGGAAACTCAAACAATAAATAATTAAATGTTACAATAAAATGATTAAACTACCAGCTTTTCTGTTAGCAACTTCATACCAGCAGGGTAAATATCAGTCCTGTTCATTTTCTTTTTTTAGTAGAGACAGGGTTTCGTCATGTTGACCAGGCTAGTCTTGAACTCCTGGGCTCAAGTGATCTGCCCCCGTTGACCTCCCAAAGTTCTGGGATTACAAGCATGAGCCACTGCACCTGGCCTTGCCCTGTTCGTTTTCATATTCTCACAAACACTGTGACAAATTGTAGATGTGTGATAAATATGTATTAAAGTGAATTAAAATAGATTATCTCAATTCCCTTTTTAACAGTATGGTTATTATTGAATACCAAATATTTGAGTAAAAAGAAGTTATTTTCATTAGACCAAATAATATTTCTTGCCTGCTATAGAATATTATGAGAATTTTGAATTGTAAAGTAGGTGGTTTGGGAGATGGGAGGTTATTCTAAAATAATGGATTTAATATAAAAAGCCTAGGACTCTCATAAAAAAACTTAAAGAATTCAATTTTTTTCTTAATTAGAAAAAATTAAGAGATTAGAAGTTCAGTAATAGATTTTGCTTGATTAAAATACAATAAACATGAAAAATAAATAGATAGATAGTGTATCTTAGTTTGTTTGTTTATTTATTTATTTATTTATTTATTTATTTATTTATTTTGTAGCCCAGAGGTCCTTTATTTATTTTTTTTTTAACACCTATTATGCCATGAATTCATAGGGAATAGGTTCCAGCAGCTCAGGCTCCTTCCCATTGGTTCTCACAAAGTGTGCTTCTCTGGGTGGAGCAGGCTGGCACTTTAGTTGAACCCAGGTACCTTTCTCTTTGGCTTCTTTCTTTTTCTGATCATTTTCCTTCACACATTTCAGGAAGCTATCTCGGCTCTTAGAGTGCTTAATGTGCTCAATACGCACATTAATTCTCTTGGCAAGAATCTTGCCCTTAACTTGTTTGTTTACAACAATGCCAACAGCATGCTGGGTAAAACTCTTCCAGTTTTGCCGTGGTAACACTTGTGGGGCATTCCTTTTTGAACAGTGCCCATTCCCTTGACGTCTACAATATCACCTTTCTTATAGATTCACATATATGTGGCCAAAGGAACAACTCCATGTTTTCTAAAAGGCCTAGAGAACATATATCGGGTGCCTCTCCTCTTTCCCTTTGTGTTCATCATTTTGGAGAATTACTGGAAGATGGCGGTTCCAGCCAAAAGGCTGTATCTTAGTTTATTGCTCACATTTTGAACATGTCATGCACTTTAAATTTTCCTATCCATCCATACTTCCATATGTCTATTCAACCAGAAATATTTATTGAGTTCTTATAAAGGGCAAGTACTAAATATACTCTCCCCAGGTCTCATGGAATATTCAGTCCTATGAGATAGGAATAGATCAAATTAAGTAATGATACTATGTATATGTGGAAATGAGATTGGGGCTTGGAAGAAAAGAAATATTCTGGGGGAAGAAAAGTTCATCTCAGGAAGTGACATGAGTAGAGATCAGGGTGATTATGAGTTTATTCAACAACAAAGAGAGGACGAATATACAGACACAGGGAACTGCATCTGTCAAGATCCTGTTACAGAAGGAGACATGGCACATTTGGGGAACTGCAGCAGAGTGAGTGACAGGATTCCAGAGAGTGAGGCAAAGAAGATGTCAAGTGGGGCTTCCAAGGCAGGCAGGAGCTTTGACCAAAGAATCCCTTGAGTACTGATATGGTATGGCTGTGTCCCCACCCAAATCTCATCTTGAATTCCCACGTGTTGTGGGAGGGACCTGGTGGGAGGTAATTGAATCATGGGGGCAGATCTTTCTCATGTTGTTCTTGTGATAGTAAATAACTCTCAAGACATCCGACGGTTTTAAAAATGAGAGTTTTCTGCACAAGCTCTCTTTTTGCCTGCCGCCATCCACGTAAGATGTGACTTGCTCCTCCTTGCCTTCAGCCATGATTGTGAGGCTTCCCCAGCCACGTGGAACTATAAGTCCAATTAAATCTCTTTATTTTGTAAATTGCCCAGTCTCAGGTATGTCTTTATCAGCAGCGTGAAAATGAACTAATACAAGTACTTTCTGTTTTCTTATCTTTAAAGGAATAGAGAACACTAAAGAGTTTTAGATAGGGGTGAGGTAGGGAGGACACAATCATATTTGTATTTTGAAATAATCAATTTACCATCATTTTGGAGAATGAATTATAGTAGATTGGGGGAGACCTCGTAATGAACTACTACAGGTCTTCAGGTAGGACAGGTTGGCCGCTTGGGCTAGGTTAGCAACCATGAAGATGGAAAGAAGGGATGAAATTCGACAATATTCACAGTTAAAAGGCTTTGATGGGCCTCGGGAATGAATGAGAAATGTAGGCTGAGGAAGAGAGTTTCTGGTTTATATAACTGGGTGAATGATGACGCTATTCTACTAGATAAAAGGCACTGGAAGAGAACTGAGTTGTTTTCTCCTGTATATGGATAGAGAATCATACAATTGGTTTTGGTTTAGTTGTGTTTGAAGATATTTGAGGAAGTAGGTAGAAGTTTTGGTGGACAATTATACACATAGATCTGGAACTCAAGAAGAGAGGCCTGTGCTGAATCATTGGCATGTCAATAATGCTAAAAGTATGGATTGGAATAAAATCCCTAACCAATATTGTGGAGGGAAAGGAGGGTGAGAATCTGAACTTTAAGAAAAGAAAATATTTAATGCCTGTTTAGAGAAGGAGTTTTCCAAGAAGCATAGAGAGATTGACCAGGGAGGCAGGAAGAAAACTAGGATGAAAGAGTTCCAGAGGCCAATAGAAGAACATATCAAGAAGAAGAAAGTGGTTAACTCTATCAAATGCTGCTGAGCAGTCAATCAACATGATTTCATTGAATACTCTAATAATAGCCTTTTCCTTGCAGTGATCATGAAAGACACTAGATTTTTGCCTGAGTAAAAGGTTAAGGATGGAGACATTGAGATTAAAAGTTTGGCTTTGACAGAGAGGAAATGGAGGATGAGGCTTGATTGAGTGTTATTAGAATTCAGGGAGAGTTTTTATGAATATAAGGAATACATCAACATGTTTAAATATCAGAGGGAAGATTTGACTTAAGGAAGCAATGAAATATCCAGAAGATAAAAAAATATTAATATTCAGAGTTTCAGGGGTTTTAAGAAGTGGTGAGCAGGTGGGATCCAATGAACAGGTAAATGAAATGTCTAGCCTTAGGCAAGTAAATAAATAATATCTCTTATCAGAAAAAAAGATGGAATAGTTCAGAAACAGACAATGCAATATTTGTTATTGTGAAGGTAAAGACTTTTGTCTGGTTGTTTCTATTGCTCTGATAAAATAGAAAACAATTATCAACTAACAGCATGAGAGAAGAGGGGGTGGCTTGGAATTCTGAGGACAGTGAAGAAAGTGTGAAATAGTTGTTGTGAAAGTGGGAGAATGAGTTAAGTTGAGACATATGGGGAGCCCATTTGAAGTTGATGATTATGTCATCATGGAAGCAGTTTGCCTTTCTGTACCAAGTAGTAATTGGCTATAGGGAGTAGTTGTGGAGAAAGAAGATAACAGGGGTCTTTCAGGGTTGGTGTTTGGCTGAAAAAAGTGATGAACAGCAGTGAGCAAAGGATCTTGCCAAACGGACCCTAGGACCTCAGCTGGATGATGGGGAAAGTGAAAAAGTAGAAACTGGAGGTCTAGGAGAAGATAAAGGGTTTAATGTACAAGAAAACTTGTGATCTGAAAAACACCAGGAAGAACTGAAAAAATAGCTAGAAGGAGGGAAAGATGTAGTTATAGTTTAATACTTTTGAATTTGAAATTTTTGACAAGGAACAATTTCAGGGAGTGACCAGGTCCTGGGTGTGTCTATGGGAGCAGATAGCAAAACTGGAGTGAAAGAAAAAGTCATTGAAGATGAGATCACCAAAGACTGATACAGCCAGGATATGCAATGATATTGAAGCCACTCTGGATGATTTCACAGCTTGGAGTAGTGAGGAGGATTGTGATCAAGTAATAAAATCTTCGATAAATAGGCCTGAGTGACTGGTAGGTTGGTGTACCCAGCTGGAAGATAGAGCAGCATAATCCAATAGCACAGACCCCAAAATACCAGAGCTTTCAACATGGGAGAAAGACATGCATACTGATCTGTAGTAAGGGTGACAAATGTTCCAGTAATGACTGAAAGCACAGTGGGTATTACAGCGGAAAGGAGGGAGTTAACTCTACTTGGCAGGTGGGAACTCTAAAGAGGAACTCCAAAATGACATGAAATTTTAGCTGTTACTACTAATATGAACCATTGCTGTTAACATATTAATTATGATTCAAATGCCAATTTCTATAACAAGAAGTGTGTTCCTTATAATGTTTAAATCTAATTCCTGTAATGAAAACACTTAATTATCTCCAAACATATGTCCTCCTTTTGGCCCTGGAATTTTTCTTTTTCTTTCTTTTTCTGAGACAAGGTCTCATCACACTGTCACCCAGCCTGGAGTGCAGTGGTGTGAACACATTTCACTGTAGCCTTGACCTCCTGGGCTCAAGTGATTCACCTCATCCTCTCATGTAGCTAGGACTATAGGCATGCACTACCACACCCAGGTTTTTAATTTTTATGTTTTGTAGAAATAGGATTTCACTATGTTGCTCAGGCTGGTCTCAAACTCCTGGGCTCAAGTGAGCCTTCTGCCGTGGCCTCTCAAAATGCTGAGATTACAGGCATGAGCCACTGCACCCAGCCTGGACTGTGTCTTAAATGAACCACATCTTTAACCATATTGCACCACTTCTAATAGTTTCAAAGCCTTAGGATTTGGATGTTCAGTGCATTATTTCCAACACCATGAAGTAAGATAGCGAAGCTCCCAGAAGGGCTGGGCATGGTGGCTCACACCGTTAATCCCAGCACTTTGGGAGGTTGAGGCGGGCGGATCACTTGAGGTCATGAGTTCGAGACCAGCTTGGCCAACATGGCGAAACCTTGTCTGTACTAAAAATACAAAAAATTAGCCAGATGTGGTGGCAGGCACCTGCAATCCCAGCTACTCAGGTGGGAGGCTGAGGGATGAGAATCGTTTGAACCCAGGAGGCGGAGGTTGCTGTGAGCTGAGATCATGCTACTGCACTCCAGCCTGGTGATAGAGCGGTACTCCTTCTGTCTCAACAAACAAACAAAAAACAAATAAAAACAAGCAAGCAAACAAATAAACAAAAAACAAAGCTCCCAGAATATTCAGTGTCTATTAGGAGGATTGCTTAGGGAACAGCTGGGGGCATTGTTCAAGGCATACCTGTCAGAGGGAAAACTGTGTCTTCATCATTATCTAACCCTCACATGAAAGTTCTTTTCAATACCTTGTCTTCATTGGATGCACATGGTTAATGAGGAAATGCTTTGCTTGCTGCATTCGTCCTGCCATCATTATGGTTTCTGGCAAGTAATTTATTTAGTAGCTGTGTTGTTTCTGAGTATTATAGTCTTCTTTACTCACTCTTAATGTGTAAAGTGCTTTAAAAATCTTGCAACCATCAAAGTAAAAGATGCAGCTCAGTGCTTCACTCCCTGGCATTGCCACAGGGCTCAATAAACTATAGATCATGTAATAATTTCATTTAGCAGCACAATAAAAGTCAAATTAGTTTCCATGAGACAGTTATGTATGATAATCTGGATTACTGTGGCCTCCTACTGACTGTATTAGCATTGTAATGTTATTTCCGCTTCTGGGATTCTGGTGGAATTTTTTCTTCAGTTTATATTTATTGAATCATTATGAAAACTGAGTTCTCAATGTCTTGAAGAAAGAGATTTATAAAAAAAAATTAATGTGCAGTGATAATGATCTTAACTTCCAATGCATCACTTTTTTTCCTTTAAAGTAGCTACTTTAACTGCTGGGTTTTCAATGTACTTGAAAATGTGGCATTATGAGTTTGAAGCTGAAAACTAACGGCTAAAGCCTGTGTTTCTATCCCTTATGGCTAGCCTTTGCCAGAGTCTTTCTCATCTCCTACAATGGTATTCTCCAGGTATATGGCAACGGAGAGTCCACTATTCTGTCTGCATTTCAGAGTACTTGGCCATGATTGCCAATCTTCTATGTAAGTTCCTCCCATACTTCACTTCTGGGTTTTGGCACCAAAAAGAAAGAAAGAATGTAGGGGTGTGTGTGTGTGTGCACGCGTGTGTGTATGTAATACATATATACAACAGCTTCATGGTCAAGTATAGCCTGATGTATCCTACATGACAAATAAGAAATAGGTCACTTTTAATAGGATTAATCTGCCATGTCTTGATGTTTCTGAAACATTACATTCATACATCTCCTTAAGACCTTTGGTAATATATAGTTAGCTGTGTAGCTATCTTTCAAACTGACCTTTCTTTTAAATACTTACAGGACTTATCAGGATGCAGTTATTGCTGGAGAGGGTGACAATTAGGAGAGCATTCCATCTTAGGAACAAAAATGTGGGTCCTATGGAGTTTCAGTATCAGACTTATAAAACTCATAGACTCATATTCAGCCCACATTTAGTTAGTTTGTAACTTGTGAACATCAGGCCATTCTCTCTGCTTCTGCTCTTACCTAGGAGCTCCTGCTGGGTGGATTGCTTATCTCCACGCTTCGGTACATCCTTAAAGTGTTTTTTCACCCTTCTTACTTGCAGCTGACTCACTTCAGTTCACCAGACAGCATCGTCTCCATATCCTGTTATCTTAGAGCTTCCCTGTGTGTCCAACTCAGTGAAGTTATGCACCGTAGAACATCATTCAGGCTTGGGAGACAGGGCTCGGTAGCAGGAACCCACTCACTTTTTGGCATTTTTCATTAGGCATAGAGGAAACTAAAGCAGTAAAATGCACACTGTGTTTGCTACTCAAGAGATGTTTATGTTAGAAATGGAAGGACATAGAAAGTGGTAAAGGAGGGAAGAGAAGAAAGAAACCATGAAGGAAGGAAGAAAAGAGAGGAGAGAATTAAAGAGGGAAAGAGGAAAGGGAAAGGAGGGAAAACCAGAACAAATTTACAGCAAGAAACCTGACTTTATTCTTCATTTAAGATTTTACCTTCTTAGAGAACTTAACCTCCCAGAAAGAAAACACAACACAAAAAACAAAGCGACACAAGGGAGTGCTTCAGCACGATTCTGGAAAGTGTTTCCTTTACTCAAAATGTACATAGATAATGACAAAATTGATAAGAAAATATGATTGAAATCACATCATGAAATTAGTTATATTCAGTTTACTTAAAATTAAACACATAAAAAGAACATAAATACAAACTATATATAATGAGCAGCATTAATGTGAAATCTTGCTTTTTATTTTATTTTATTTTATTATTATTTTTTGAGACAGAGTCTTGCTCTGTCACCTAGGCTGGATGGAGTGCAGTGGCATGATCTCAGCTCACTGCAACCTCTGCCTCTTGGGTTCAAGTGATTCTTCTGCCTTGGCCTCCTGAATAGCTGAGATTACAGGCATGCACCACCATACCCAGCTAATTTTTGTATTTTTGGTAGAGATGGGGTTTCATCATGTTGGCTAGGCTTGTCTCAAACTCCTGACCTCAAGTGATCCGCCCGCCTCGGCCTCCCAAAGTGTTGGGATTACAGGAGTGAGCCACCACGCCTGGCCTGAAATCTTGCTTATTAATGACTGATGAAATTTATAGTCGGGGCATTTGTAATGAATTATCTTTGTTTTAGTCCATTCCAGACCTTATTCTGGTTCAGTTTCATTTGTCAATTATCTGTGCTGTCTTTATTTTTGCTAAAATGCACCATTTCCATGATTGTGGCTTTTAAAATAAATGCAGAGAATTCTCAATCTGCAATTGAAAAAAATCAGAATTTCAGGATAGCTATGCTTCATCAATTGTAAACTCATAGCCCTACTTACCTCTCTTCTGATTTCTTATTTTGTGCCAGAAGCTTTGTTTCTTTCAATGCCCTCACTACAAAATGACTGTTGCAGGTGCTCGTTATCATTAAATGACAACTCTGTCTCTGCTTTGCTCTGTGATGTGACGGTTGAAGACATTATACAAACTTCCTTGTCTTTTTACAGGCGGAAAATAATTTTCGACTTGAGTATTAATTGAAGAAAAAAAACCACCATTAAGCAGAAGTCAATGACTTGATGCAACTTTCCCTCCTAAATTGCTAAATTGCAAATTAATTCTTCTCCTTCCCTTTTACACATTTCCTCTCCACCTTCCAGTAAGCAGCTCTGTTGGCACCAGTGGTTTTTCTGTTCAGAATTTTTATGCCTCAAATTGTGGATTATCTTGCCTTGGGACAACAGTGATTTCATGTATAAGGCATGATGTGAGGTGCAATCCCATTGGTCTTTTAGGTAAAATAAGTTACTCAGAAGTCATAAAATGTGCCATTAATTACCATTAATGACAATTGACATTGGGTTCTGAGGATTTTGAGAAAGCTATGCAACAATTAGTCAGGATAAGGGATATATTTTTTTGTTGTTACTCTTCCAGATTACTCAAATTCTGCATTTCTTTTTTTTTTTTTAATAAAAATTCAAACTTGGTCATTTTAATTTCCTGAAACAATATGCTGAAACAGGGTTAAGGAGCATGTACATTCTAGAAAAAAATTAATTTGTTTTAGATTAATATGAATTCTGGTTTTTAATATTTCTGTCTGATTCTCCAAAATTCTTAGAAGATAAACACCTTGGATAGGGAAACGTTCTACCCCTGGAAGGAACATTTGAGATATCAAAACTGAATTGTTGTTCTAACCCAACAGTGGTCATTAGTATCACCTACTATATGAAAAATACACACTCTTGGGATTCTGTTTCCAGAGATTCCCATTCAGTAAGTCAAAGATTGAGCACAAGAGTTTGCATATTAAAAGAGTTGCACAAGTTATACTGATTCACATACTTCATTGATCATATTGATCATTTGCCTAAGTTTATAGCACTTACTATGAACAACTTATAGAATGGAAGCCAGGTATATTATATTCCAGTAATATTTCTATTGTTACTGAAGGAAAAATTGTGACTGTATCATCACTCCTGTGTTGTTATACCCTCAGGATGAAATATTAAGTCAAAGATAAAGACCCATGCACAGATTTGGACAGCGTTGGGGAGTCAAAGGATTTAATTGGTACAATCTAATGTGGTGCAAGTAGCATATATAATCACAGCCCTAATGGGAACACGGATTAGATGGTGAAGAGTAAGTTAACATCCAAGGAGAGTAGACAGAGAGGTAGAAGTCAAGGTAACTGTGAGGCACAAAATGCTACAGGGAATATCAAGGTGTTCAGATCAATATATGCAAGCAATACCCTTACAGCAAAATTCCATAAAACCAGCACTGTTGCTCCATCTGACCTGCATAAGTGCTTGTTGCTAGGGCAGGACCCCTTCCCTATCCCCACCCCCTATTCTTTAAAGGGACTGGTACAGCTTCTGATCTCAATTTGAGAGATTGCTACAGGATCTGTATATTGAGTTAGATTTTCACACATCAAACATCACGTTTGATCTCTGTTTACATCTTACAATACAACTAAACAATATTAAGAGTGAAAATTTGGAACAGATGAAGAAAATAACATTAACATTGTACAGAAAAGCGTAAAATAAGATTTTATAGTAGATGGTTCTAAAATTGGTACCTTAATCAGAACACATGATTCTTTCAAGGAAAATTGGTAAATTTTACTAATAGCCAAAAGTAATTTATAAAAGGTTTAGAAATCAACCATTAAAGGAAAGGAAATGAGAGATAGAGGAATGTCAGAGAACAGAACCCAACCAAATCACAGGTTCAAGCCTTCTACATTCGCCCATAGTAACCTGACAAACCAAACAGGTATTTTTACTAAATTAGAATGCCCTCACAGAAAAAAAAAATCATAAAATAAGGTATTCCGAATCAAGACCAAAGCTGTGAATTCATTGACTAAAATCTTTTATTATATTAGTCCTACACTAGGTGAAAGGGTTTCTGATTTTATTTTGTTGTAACCCTTATTGGGTCAAAATCAAATGGACAGCTAAAGCAGTTGTATCCAATTCAATTCAATATATAATTAAATGCCTATCTATTATATGCTAGTCACTTTGTTTGACATTAGAGAACACAGATGAATAAAATGATATTTCTTCTTTGAGGAGCTCTTAATCTGAAAGAAGAGACAGAATAGTAAACAATTAGCTGTGACATAACATGCGAACTGCATGACAGAAGCCTGATCCTAGTGCTGTGGAAATAATTAAACGTTGTCTAGGGAAGGGAAGGGAGGTGGGAAGGGAAGTCCACAGGGAGTGAGTGACATTGGAGACCTTGAAGGATGAAGGAGTTTCTCCAGGTGAGCACAGAGAAGAGAGGGAGGGAGAGGAAAACCTCAGCAATGGAGAAAGCACGGAGTGAGTAGAGCATTCCAGAAGTAGCAGCCCAGCATCTAGTGTGGTGACAGTGAGGGTTGAAAAGGTAGCCTGCGACCAGTTTGCAGTGGTTCTCTGTCTTCAGTAACCCCGGGGCAAGGTGTGGGGCACATGGGGGATGCAGAGTTGGAAGATTTTATCTGCATTCTTTCTCACTGCTAATAACACTGTGATCTTTGACAAGTTATTCTTTAATTGTGCCTCAGTGTCCTCATCTGAAAATTGAGAGAGATAAAAACAATTTCAAACTCATGGCATGGTTTTAAAGAGAGAGTGAAATGAAGAATTTAGAACAGGGCCTGTCACCTAGAAGTGAGACAGAAATAATATATGGTGGTCGCAAAATAACAGACAAATCCAGGCAACAGTTTTACATGATTAGAAAAAAAGAAGAAAAAAAAAACTGTTCAAATAACTGCACAAGCTAGAGGCTGATAAAACCATGAAAACCAGGGTGTGGACCAATCTGGCTAAAAACACTGGATGCAACATGGCCCTGGACTTAACCTAGATTTTCTCCCAGGACCTCATTATCCACTCATTAACATCCTAGATCACACACCACCCGTGCCATGACAGTTCTGGGAACACCCATATTTGGTGTAAAAATGGGTGGCAAAACAGTTCTGAGAAATCTGCACCTTTTTCCAGGAATCTCCATGAGTATTTCACCCCTTGGTTAAAGAAACCCATAAATCTAGAAGCCCCAGGCCCCATTGCCCAACTCTCTCTTGAGCACACCTACACTCCCCTTTCTTGAGTATGTACTTTTTGTTTTGCAATAAATCTCTGTACTTTCACTATTTTCCAATTTGTCCTTGAATGCCTTCTCACTACGGTGTCAAGAGCCTGGACACTGGCTGGTGTGAAGGTCCTACTGGTGTGTGGGGACCTTCCCTAGCTTACCAGTATCAGAAGTATACTAAATAATGTTAACTACTGTCAATATATTTTGGTGGTAAAGAACATGGAAGGCAAGATGGAATGATGATTAATGGCATGGACTCTGGTGTCAGACAGACTGGGGAAGTATTTATCACTTACCACCCATAGAACCTTGCCAGTGTTACTTAACTTCTCTGTACTTATAAATTACCAATCATTGTAAAGTATCACAATGTGGTTTTGAGGACCCACAGAGTCCAATACTTAGCAAAGCCCCCGCCACATAGGAAGTACTCAGTGAGGTTAGCTGCTATCCTTTCAGAGTCATTAAAGAAGAGGTGAGAGTCTGTGTGGGTTAGGAAGGAAATTAGATGTATTTGGCTCCTGTAGAAAAACATGATAAGAAAGCAACAATATGAGTAAAATGTAAATAGTTTAATTTGGCTTTGGGAAGCAAATGGCTAATGCTTTGTGGTGGTGATCGATGATGGTGGTGCTATGTGTGTATGCGTGTGTGTATTTCCTTAGAAAATACAGCTTTTAACTGTTTTTAAAATAGATGGTCATTTGCTTGGTGGATACACTGGCTTTGAGTCTTTCCATTCTTCCAAGTATAATTTCCACAATCAAGCAGAGCCAAAAATCTCTCTCAATGCAGTCAGAAGCAAGACTCCTGACTCTGAGCATTCAAAATGCATTTAGCCTATGAAGCTGTTTGGCATAGCCACTGATTTCAAATGGCAGAAGCCATGGTTTGCTATGACGGGAGAGGCAGCAGCATGAGGAATCTAGCCAGAATGCTATCTAGAAAGAAATCTAACTGGCATGCTAAACCATTTATGCGTTTGTTTGTTAAAAGGCACTTTAAAAATAATATATTTGAACTATCACAAATCATTCTTGATTATGATTAATCTGTTGTTTTTCAATTGAGGAAAAGGAGTTTCAGACAGGTTAGGTAAATTTGCCCAAAATTTCACAATAAGTCAATAGTGGACTCTGTTTGGTCACCACATTCTCTGTATACATTCTAAAACATCTTTCTACATGCCAAGTAAGGTGGTTGTTGTGGGCAGAATTATAACTTGAACCATATGTTTTCCAAACAGAAGTAAACCAAAATGCATTACTCAACCTTCCTGGTCATAACATTGATTTAAACGAGTAACTCTGACTGTGCTTTAGAGATGGTTTTACAGAAGCATCTTTCAGTTCATGTGTACATTTCCCTGGAACATTATTAGTAAAATTGATCACTTCTCAAATTTGAGAAAACAAAGGCAAGCCATGGACTCATGTAAGTAAAGCAGAAGGTTGTCACCTTCTTCAGTCTCATAATCCTACCCCATTCTCCAGAAGAGCAGGAACTGCCTTTAGACTCTCAAGACACTGATCAGCATCCTGCCTTGCCATTCTGGAATTGTTTCTATTCTGTCTCAGGGCATTGATCATTAAATTTGCTTCAATTGTCTGAATACCATGGCAAGACCCATTTCAAGTCTGATACATAAAATTCTTTAAGTTAAAAAAATTGAATTAGAAGATGTAGAAGTCTGTAGATGTGTGATGTGGATGTATATGTAGTGATATGGGCAGGCGATGCAAGGCTGAGGGAAGGGCAATTGCAGCTGCAAGCTTAATCTAATCTGCCAGCCCCCATTAAGACTCTTCCTCTTCCCTTCATTTCCAGGACCTGAAGCTCAGAAATATCAGGGTTAAGAGAAGCCAAAAATTTGGTGGCACAGGCGGAACATAAGAAGCAGTAAGGAAAGAGAAAGGAAAGTCATTCTTTTTTTTTTTTTTTTTTTTTTTTTTTTGCGTCAGGGCCTCCCTCTGTCACCCAGGCTGGAGTGCAGTGGTGCTATCATACTCACTACAATCTCTAATTCTTGAGCTCAAGTGATCCTCCTGCCTTGGCCCTCTAAATAGCTGGGAATACAGGCATGCACCACCATGACCGTCTAATATTTTAATTTTTCATAGAGACAATGTCTTGCTTTGTTGCCCAGGCTGGCCTCAAACTCCTGGCCTCAAGTGTCCCTGCTGCCTCGATCTCCCAAAGTGAGCCACCACACCTGGCCAAAAGTCATTCTGTTTGTTGTATTTTTATCCTTAAATTCTGTCTCTCCTCTGTAAACATCCTTGTATGATCATGTGATGGCCCACGTGTCCCCAGGCTCATTAGCCTATGCAACCTTTGTTTTGATATAAAGCAAATAAGTTGGTTTGGACTCTTATGCTATCGTCTATGGAAGAAAACCTACGATCTTATCTCTTTTTCCTTTGGGATGCCAGGTATTTTGGGAGGGTTTACAGTTTCTTTACCATTTTTTTCTCTCATCTCTTGTTTCTGATTCATCTTTGTTTAATTTTGACTCATTTTCTCTGTTCCACACCCCTTAGCTCTTCTCAAAGCTACATTTTGAGTGCTTAAAGTTTCTTTTTTCTTTTTTTTTTTTTGAGATGGAGTCTTGCTCTGTCGCCCAGGCTACAGTAGGGTGTAGTGGCGCAATCTTGGCTCACTGCAACCTCCGCCACCTGGGTACAAGTGAGATTCTCCTGCCTCAGCCTCCCGAGTAGCTGGTATTACAGGCGTGTACCACTACGCCAGGCTAATTTTTTTGTATTTTTAGTAGAGACGGGGTTTCACCATCTTGGCCAGGCTGGTCGCGAACTCCTGACCTCTGGATCCACCTGCCTCGGCCTCCCAAAGTGCTGGGATTACAGGTGTGAGGCACCGTGCCCGGCCAGGTGCTTAAAGTCTGTTAACTTTTAAAAATGTCACTCACACAACCAGCTGTGTCTAGCAGACTTTTTGATGAAGATCAAGAGTAATGAATGGGACTGCACGCAGTCATCATAGAGTCAACAACTTGAAATCGAGCATTACCGTGCCTTTTGTCATGAAATCCTCAGGCATCCTCACCTCCATCTCCTGGCTGTCTTAGCCCTTCAGATTCCTGGTCTTTGTGCAGGGCTACCCCTGGCCTCCTCTCGCTGGTTTTTGTGTCTTCTCCCCATTTATGGATCTTTTCATCCTCTCTTTCCAGCAATGCCTAGAAACTCATTTTTTCCTTTATTTTATTATGCAATGCTCTTTATCTTTCCCTTGGTCTTATTTCCCTTGTCTAGTTACCAAAATCTAAAATCAAAATGGCTCATTGAATCTTTTTGGTAAACAAAAGATTGCTCTCTCCTCAAACTAATTTTCCTGCCTTAAAACAATAAAGTCTTCAGGTAAAATCTTAGTTGGGATAAAATTCAGTAAAAATCTCTTCACAGCCTGTGGGGTTGAGGGGTAACACATTGGATTTAGCTCAGTAACCAGTGAACTAGCCTAAGCAAACTGTCAGGCCTCTGAGCCCAAGCCAAGCCATCGCATCCCCTGTGACTTGCACGTATACGACCAGATGGCCTGAAGTAACTGAAAAATCACAACAGAAATGAATATGCCCTGCCCCACCTTAACTGATGACATTCCACCACAAAAGAAGTGTAAATGGCCAGTCCTTGCCTTAAGTGATGAGATTACCTTGTGAAATTCCTTCTCCCGGCTCATCCTGGCTCAAAAAGCACCCCCACTGAGCACCTTGCGACCCCCACTCCTGCCCGCCAGAGAACAAACCCCCTTTGACTGTAATTTTCCTTTACCTACCCAAATCCTATAAAACGGCCCCACCCTTATCTCCCTTCGCTGACTCTCTTTTCGGACTCAGCCTGCCCGCCTGCACCCAGGTGATTAAAAGCTTTATTGCTCACACAGAGCCTGTTTGGTGGTCTCTTCACAGGGACGCGCATGAAACAAAGCATACAAAGAAAATATTGCCTACTTTATTTTATTTTTTTAAAACAATTTAAGTCAGAAAACATTAAAATCTACTGGGGAAATTTATGTAAATTTGCTTCTCTTATTGTAAGAACCAAAGGTTCAAAAGTACTTCCAGGCCAGGCAAGTGGCTCATGCCTGTAATCCCAGCACTTTGAGAGGCCGAAGCAGGTGGATCATGAGGTCAGTAGTTTGAGACCAGCCTGGCCAACATGGTGAAACCCCATCTCTACCAAAAATACAAAAATTAGCCGGGCGTGCTGACACACACCTTTAGTCCCAGCTACTCGGGAGGCTGAGGCAGGAGAATTGCTTGAACCCAGGAGGCAGAGCTTGCAGTGAGCTGAGATTGTGCCACTGCACTCCAGCCTGGGCGACAGAGTGAGACTTCATTTCAAAAAAAGAAAAAAGAAAAAAATAAAGTGCTTGCTTCCAAGCTTTGTGTGTTTTGAAAGTTTCCATGAAATACATCTTGTCCAATTTAACGTTTTTCTAGGGTTTTGATGTGACATGTGTCCAAAAAAATATTTGCAGCTACATTTGTCACGAATATATAAGGAATACAAGAACAATGGCAGGGCGTGGTGGTTCAAGCTTGTAATCCCAGCACTTTGAGAGGCTGAGGCAGGAGGATTGCTGGAGCCCAGGAATTTGAGGCTGCAGTGGGCCAAGATTGTGCCACTGCAGTCCAGTGTGGGTGACAGAGCAAGACTACTCTGTCTCTTTAAAAACAAACACATACACACACACACACACACACACACACACACACACACACGAAGAAGAAAAGAAAAGCGGTTTCAAGCAGATCAGTAGCTCTGAATCTACATTCAGTTCGGGGCAATCCCCTGGACAGCTGTGCTGCAAAATCCCATTAAGACCCAGAAGAGGGAATCTCAACAACTGATTTGAAAAGGTTGGGCAAATAGGAAACATTCACACATACAAGAATGTCAGTTCTTACAGTCAACTAAGTATTAGGTTGGTGCAAAAGTAGGCTGGGCGCGGTGGCGCATGCCTGTAATCCCAGCACTCTGGGGGGCCGAGGCGGGCGGATCACGAGGTCAGGAGATGGAGACCATCCTGGCGAACACGGTGAAACCCCATCTCTACTAAAAATACAAAAAAAATTAGCCTGGCGTGGTGGCGGGCTCCTGTAGTTCCAGCTACTCGAGAGGCTGAGACAGGAGAATGGCGCGAACCCGGGAGGCGGAGCTTGCAGTGAGCCCAGATGGCGCCACTGCAGTCCAGCCTGGGTGACAGCGAGATTCCGTCTCAAAAAAAAAAAAAAAAAAAAAAGGAATTGTGGTTTTTGCTATTACTTTCAAATGGCAAAATCCACACTTTTGCACCAACCTAACAGATGGGAAAGCAGGAGCTTTTTTGTCCTAAAAATACCTCAGAACTCACCTTGCCCATGTACTCAGCTACGCACAATTCTAGTGGTTCAGAGAGTCCCGCTTTGTGGTGCACTTTCATTCTGAAAGACTTTGGTGAGTCAGAAGAGCAACTTGTTTGAAGCATACTCCAAAAACTCAAGAAATCTTGCTATTCCGAGCATGGATGCCCCTGTAACCTAATATTTCTATTGAATTTATAGACTGGTATTATGAATACGTGTTGGGTAGTGGGGCACGCGGCTGGGTTAAGGGTTCTTTCAACTATTGATCTCAGCACAATAAACAGTAAGTGGTGCCACTGGAAATTGGATTCTTATGTGATGGAAACGTGCTGAGTCATCAATTACAGTTTACCCCATGTGTTTCAGGGACATTTATAAAGCTGTGGGGCTAAATCAAATCTGACTTGGAGAATGTACAGAAAATATTTGCAGAAAGCATCGGTGGGGGCGGGGGCGTCGTCAAAAATATGACTTTAAAAAGCAGTGTTTAGGGAGTTTCTGGAATAATGCCGGGCAAACCACAGAGATGTCTAAAGCCACTTTGAGTGTGCCGAATTGACTTCCTAAAAATTAAATGCAAAATAGATAATTTTAGTAATGCAAAATATAACAAGGACACAAAATAGGTTGTGTGCTCTAATGCCTGTATATAGCTTTAAAAATAATCCCAAATGCCAGGCAAATAAAATATGCCCCTTATACATATATTGACTCCTATTAAACTAGGGAGAATAAAAAAATAACGTCATGGTTTGGTAACGAGTAGATTTTTAAAAATGCTTGATAAACTATGCTAAGCAAGAAACTGGCAGATAAATGCTGAGATACAAAAATCTAAAGATGCATGGAATTCTTTTTTCTGGAGATGGAGTCTCACTCTGTCGCCCAGGCTGGAGTGCAATGACGTGATCTCTGCTCACTGCAAGCTCCGCCTCCCGGGTTCACGCCATTCTCATGCCTCAGCCTCCGGAGTAGCTGGGACTACAGACGCCTGCCACCACGCCCGGCTAATTTTTTGTATTTTTAGTAGAGACGGGGTTTCACCGTGTTAGCCAGGATGGTCTCGATCTTCTGACCTAGTGATCCACCCGCCTGCCTCTCAAAGTGCTGGGGTTACAGGCGTGAGCCACCGCGCCCGGCCAGATGCCTGGAATTCTTAAGTGATTAATGATAAAGGTTAGGATTTAGAGCTGGAAATGAATAAGCATTTACTAAAAGATGTAGGTATTGATGATGTAAATTTAACTGAGGCCTCAAATTTGAATGGAAACCCCCCCATGGAGAAATCTGGCTTTGTTGTAAATATTCTGTTAATTACCCTTTCTGGTCTATTGAGGAATAGACCATGATAAATGCAAACAGTGATCGAAGTGTTGCAATGCATTTGTAAACTTAACCACACTTTATGATTTATCACCACATTTTAAGGCAGTGTGTTTCCTTTCTGTATCATCTCGCCTTGTCATGGAATGTAAGAAATCCCTGTGGGGTGGCCAATGCAAGTGTAAAGCACTGAACTTTGAATGAAGAAATCCATAGTTTAGACTTCACTCTTCCATAACTAGATGTATGACCTTGGGCAAGCCATTTAATTTCCCAGGATACTTAGACTAAATAGTATTAATAATTCCAGTTTACTATATGCCAATACTCTGCTAAATACATTCTTATACCATTAATAACCCTTTGAAGTAAATATACTTTCATCGACACAGAGAAAAAAAAAAACAGAGTTTTAGAGATGTTAAGAATATTGCCCAAGGTTGCAGGGCTAATAAAGAGAAGAAATTGGATTTTAATGGAGACCTTTTCATTCTAAAACTTATGTTCTTACTCAATATGCCATGGTGCCATTCTAAAAATACATGCATTTTCCAAGTTAGCTTGATAACATAATGGTTAGGAGCATAGATTGGAATCCAGAAAGCCAGAAAGCCTGAGTTTTAATCCTGGTTATTGACACTTACTAGTTTTGTGACTTCAGTGGTCTACTTACCCTCTGTGTATCTGAATGCTCTCATCTGTAAAATGAAGATAATAATAGTATATCTCCCTTACAGTAGTTAGAAATTAAAAGTAAAACATTTAGAAGAGTGTCTGATGTATACATTATAAATATTACTATTTACTATTATTTTCCCTCATACAAAGTGTATAGATATATACTGAGAAAAATGTGAAAATACAGTGGGATGAGAGAACAAATATTTATTAATATCCTAATACAGTCAACAAACCTGTCCCAGGTTTTAGGAAATGCAACATTAAAAAAAAAATTGACAGATTCTGTTGTAAACAGCAGGCATTCCACAGAGTGAAAATTCTTGCCTTCTTGGTACTTCTCTAAATAAAGTCTCCTGGAAGGTGCTTTTTGCTTAAAGAAACTGATATCTATCACATTGCACTCTCCTTTATCATAGGTGACTAAGATGTCAGGCAAAGCATTTTTTTTTTTGGAAACTATTAAGTGATAAATTACTGGTAACTTAGTTTTCTGATTATTCCTTTTAAAATGTATTCTTTTATGGATTTAAAGATATTATATTTTTATTTATTATGACTTATTTCCTTGTGGCCTGGAGAGGATGTATTAATACTTCATGAGAACTTATTTATAAAGCTTCAAAGCCAAAGGTTTTGAGTTTGAGACTTTTATGTAGTACAAGAATTGGTGTCTGAACGATGGAAAGGTTAATTTCACTAGTGGAAAGTAGTTTGTACTTAAAATAAAAAAATTAGTAATTTAATAGGTGACATTTTCCACCCAATTATTGCTAAGGTCTGATTAGAAGCTATGATATTTGAATACTTGGTAAAACATATATTTTCCAGAAACCCGAAGTATTCTCTGATAACAGTATGTCAGAGATATAGAACTTAAATGCCAGATGAAATCAAGTGAAGCATTTCTGAATTTGCCTAAGGTTACAACCTGAAACAGAGCTAAAATCTGGAAATCATTTCTGGATCAAAGTCTAGTAAATCACTAAAATCCAGCTGCGTATCACACGTTGTATATAGTGTGAGGGTAGAGAGAGGAATTCAATAAGTCAACAAATGTTTATTGAATGCCAATGTATGTCAAGCATTTTCTTTCCACTTGTCACAAAGCAACCTCAGAGTTCTGCATGTTATCACTACTTTTAGTTTGCAGAAAAAGAATCATATTGGGGTTTGGATTCAGCAAATAGTCACCCTTTCTCTGTCCTACTGTGGGTGGAGTACATTTTCCTACTTCATTGATGAGAGTGGGCTGGGCCATGGACTTGATTTGGCCAAAAGGTGTGGTAAAACATGATTCAATCTGAGACTTGAAATGTGCTTCTCCATTAGAGCCATCTCTCTGGGTTTTTGCCATTGCTAAAAAAACAATGTGACCTTGGCAGCCCATTTGTCCACAAATAATTGTAGACATTTTGAACATAGCTACCTTAGGTGCCTGTTCCTGGAATCCTTGGTAACTGAGACAATCTAACCAATCTGAAGACCTGCAATTTGAAACAGATTCACCCCAATTTACCAAAAGACTTTTGAGCATAATAACCAGCTTTGATTGGTGCATACCACTGAGTTTTGGGGTGTTTTTAATGTAGCAATAGCTGACAGATACAATTATGTTGGCCGAAGCCACATAGCTAATAACTGGGGAAAGAGGATTCTTGCTTTCACATTGCTTAACAATCTAGTCAGTAAAGGAAGATAAACCCAGAGCAATAGACAGTAATTGATAATCTAAATTGTACATTTTAGACAATAGGATCTCTTAGAATTTCCACAGATGAAAGATTACTGAGAATTGGAATGTAGATACAGATAATGTCTCTACTGAGGACACAAGGATTGTCACTTTAACATAGGTTTAAAAGCTCTAAAGGGCAAGTATGTTTGACAATTACCATCATGCCAAAATCCTGAACCAATGACATGGGTCCTAAGGCTATTAAGATGCTCTTTTCTGCAGTGCCTGGAAGAAATCTCAACAATCCTTGTTAAAGGAGTACTCTAGGGAGTGACAATCAATTGATAAAAGCTGGCATGCGAGCCAAAATCTGTGTTTCCCTTGATCTTGGCAGAAAATCTATCAAGAGATATTAATATGTTGGGGCTCATGACATAATACTCAAAGTTTGGTGCTCTGGCCTGCTAAATAGTTAAAATGAAAAGAGATTAGAAGGGCCTGAGACCTCTCTGACTTTCTCTTGCTCTCCTGTCTCTGACCCCTCATTCTCTCCCGAAGCCAATTATAGAAACCAGAATCCCTCTTCCCCAAGGTGGGTCATAGAGACTAGAACCCTTTCCTCCAAAGGAAATCATAAACCTAGAAAGGCCATTCTCTTCCTTCTCCCTTCTCCCTTGAATCTCTCATTCTAGAGAGGTCCTGCCCTCTACCCAGGAGGAAAGAACGCTACACACAGCAGCCAAGAAGAATCTGAACAGACAGGCCTTGGTGGGGTTCCCCACTACCTCCATCTATTACCATTAGGTCATATTGATTTTTCCAATCACATTTTTACATCACTGCCAGGCAGTTTTGCTTGGGCCTATGGGTATTCATTTCTGAAGGCTCTTGTGTCACATAAAATTTTGCTTAAATGAATTTGTTAAGCTTTTCTCTTGAGAGCCTGTCTTTTGTAATATACCTGTTGGCTGTGACGCTTATGATGGGTGAGGAAAGGGATCACATCTTTCTAACCCTGCAGTTTTGGCACACAACTCAGGGTGGCTGAGACACGTGACTTGCTCCAGAGCCTGCAGATGAGAATCTGGAACAACTGACGAAAAGCCAGGCAAGAAAAGGTAAGAACTTTTTACTAAGGTCAGCTCTCCTGGATCTCAGACTGAGTGCCTGATTGAGAATGGAAAGTAAACATTTCTCTTTATCCCTCCCTTTCTAAATTCAGGTTAGCTGGAGAAAATCATTTGTTTGGATTGTGAGTCTTTTGTAAATCTGGTTTTGGTTTGGGGATACCCATTTCTTGTTGGTCCTTTCCCTCTCAGGGACAGCTTTTTCTTTCTTGTTTGTCTCATTTTGTGTCCTGAGAGTTTGGCGTTGTGACCAGTGAGAACACACTCTGATTTCTACCAGGTAGAGGACAATATTTTACAAAATATCTATTTAAAAATTGTTTCAAAAATATATTTGGTAACTTACAACCTTAAAGTGAAATTAACAGATAGTCATTATCGGGGTCATTTCTAAGTAAGTTAAAATACTGAAACATAAATTGCTAAGCATAAATTTAAGTTTATATATGTTGGCATCCCTTGTTTTCATATGGTATATGGAAGCTAAATATATTTGGTTCTATTAATAAAAATTGAGATAAAGTGAGTTTCTAAAAATTATAAAATAGTGAATGCTGATGTAATACAGTTCACAATCCGTGCTAGCTTTCACTAGAAGTAAAGATAACTAAGAGTTAAGTATTACAATTAATTAATGTGACTACATTACTAGAAATTACAAGGGAAACAATTATGTATATGAGAAAAGTAAGGTGTATTTGATAAGGAAAAGTATGAGGAATGAGTTTTCTTCAAAAAACAGAGCTGATTATATGAAAAAAGGTTATAAAAGGTTTGTGTAAATCTTATATTGTGTGATTAAAGCTTACTGAGATTGAATGAATTTATTTAAAAGATTTCATTAAAAATTAGCCTTTAGTATTAATATTACACAGATGCAGAAGTCAAACTTAGTGTGTTAAAATGGAGTATTGGTCTGAAAATTTAGTTTTCTTTTTTTACAAGCTGTTGCTTAGGAAACAAATATGTGTTTTATTAATTTTTTTGTAATTATTGTTATCTTTTGTCAGGCCTTTGATTACTTAAGAAAAGTGAGTCTTCTTAATGTTAAAAGAGGTAAGTTGCTTTTTGCAACTATGTGACCTTCTGTTTTTGCCTTTAAAATATTTTGCTGTTGCTTTGATTAAATAGGTGAACAAGAAGACCCTATCTAATTGTTTAAACCTACTTATATTTTTGACAAACTTCCCTTAATCCTATTCTAAACTTAGTCTTTTGACCTTGAATTATCTTTGGAATTTCCCAGTTTTGCCACTGAAAAGCTGAAAGGATGTCTGTCTCACCTTGTACAAGAGCAATAGTAAATGAATTTGGCTTATTTATATGTTAAATTATGTGAGAAACATTGCCAAATAAGTGATGCCTGCCATTGATATGAGTATTTCAAAGTTTATGTAAAATTCCTAGGAATCTGATATGTTATCAATCATAATTTTGGTTATTATGTTAAAATGTTATATGCCATGAAAATAACCAAATTTCCTCATGAGTTGCACCATTAACTTGAGAAACTCATCAGATTTTCAACCAAAGTCATTCTAAATATTTGTAATTCAGTTATTGTTTTCATTCTTTTTAAAAAGCATTCAGTCAGCTGCAGTACGAAATAGTTTGATGATCAGTTTTTGGCTTGGCTTCCTATCCTTGAGAGGCTTCTTAAAAGTTTAATCTGAAGTTCCTTATGAAAATTTTCATCAAAGCAAACTTAAAGAGATCCTGTGTGGTCAGTCACTATTCTTGCTGTACTTATATAAATAATCAGACCAAGTTTAATGAGTTTAGACTTATTTTATGAACAAATTAGTGTCACTTTGATTATCTTTGGCAGAAATGGAGGTAATTTTAGAGAGAAAAATTACATTAAAAAAACTACAGTACACCGATTATTAGATTCTAGCTCACTGTTTCTGGGGATTTGTTATCCACCTGAAATCTGGACTGGATCTTAAATTCTTCCAGTTTCCTCTTATATCTGGCTATGATTCTTTACACTAATATTTATAATTTTTCTCTCACCCTTCTAGCTTGGCCATTGACATTAAGACTGCCTTCTTCCTGAAGCCCCACAAACTGAAGCTAAGTGACTGATATAGACTTCCATAATACCCTTTTGTCCAATCATGTTTCTACATGGCTGTGCATTCTTCATCAAACTTAAGCCTAAAAATAGAAAGTTTTCTCTGGGTTTTGGATTTTCATTTTTTGGGGCTCCCATGTCACATAAAACTTTGAGTAAAATAATTTGTTATGCTTTTCTCTTTTTAACTGTTTTAAAGCATGAACCAGCCTGCCTGGCTGGTGTTTCTCTTTAGTCCTTTTTGCCTTTCTTTTCCTGGTCATGTCTTGTACATCTGCATTAGAGGCAATGAGACAACAAATTTATTAGGACAAAATGAAAGGGTCGTGAGAATTTAGGGTACTTTTAAAAGACTTGTTGAATTAGTTGACTCAAAATTGAATGTTGCTCTTCATGTCTTCTTATGAAGAGCTGTCTTTGAACTTATGGAGTTAGCCATTTTCTGTCTTGCTTAGTTACTGCTGTCAGTCTACCTGTTCATTAGTCATAGCAGGATTTTAAACTCACTAAATGCTTCTACCCCTTGTCTCTCAGACTCCTCCTGTATTTCTCCTTTCCTTATTCAATTTTGAGTCAACTAATTCAACAAGTCTTTTAAAAGTACCCTAAATTCTCATCACCCTTTCATTTTGTCCTAATAAATTTGTTGTCTCATTGCCTCTAATGCAGATGGGGCATGCACCAGTCTAGGCCACTTTGAGGCAATGGCAGAGAGAAGAGGAGAAAGAAGTGGGGGTAGAGGAGTGGAAGTAGAAGTGCAAGCAGGGATGGCACTTACCTCCCTGACACAATGCCTAGTTGGCTGAAGATTCTATGGCCATTCTAACTTTAATGGACTGAGCCATTCATTTATTAGACACAGAACCTTTATTGTTTTACATGAAATTGTCATTTTGTTGCTTTCAGTGACAAACTCTCATTCAAATACATTCATTTTCTCTAGTGCTCACTTGCTATCATCCTTTTCAGAGATCCCTTGGCTCTTGTTTGGTTAATGGCATCAATCCCTAGCAAGCCTCTCAGATTTAGTCTTGTTCTGTTACAGTTCACCCAGTATGTTGTTTTCAGGGTGAACCTTTTAACAGTTAGAATATGATTTGATTTTTCCTGTTTAAAACCCTCCTATAGCCTTCCATTGCTCTTGGAATGCAACTGAAACTTTTTGGGAGTGTTTCTCCCATAATCTATGTTATACCTAACTCTATAGTCTCTTATCAAGCTCCATGAACTGTTACATTTTATAATTTATCATGTTGTATTTGTTTTGGACATTCAAATGTTCTGTACTTCCTTATTTCATGGCAACTGAACATGTGTTTTTTTTTCTTACCCCGAAGTTACTTTTTTCTTTTCTCAGTTCCTCAAGCCAGCTTCAACCTAAGTCTCACTGCCCTCAGAATGCCATTTCTAATCACTAGATAAGAGTAGTTGCCCTTTTTAACTTTTCTAATTGTTCCTTATATACTTGCTAAGTAGTAGTTATCAGAATTTATTATCATTGATTGTTTAATTGTGTCTCATTCCTACTAGACTGAAAGTTCATGCAGTAGTTATCACAGATGTCTTATTCATCCCGCTATCTCCAGTGCTTAGCATAATACTTGGAATATGACGGAACAAAAAACTATTCATCAAATAAGCAATTACTTTATTATAGCCTTGGTTAGATGTATCTCCATAGACTCAGTGACTCAGTACCTTCTAGGACAGGTTAGGCTGATTGATTTTGAGTCATCAGGTCCATAGGAAACATCAGTAGTGAGGAAGCAAGGAAGATAATTTGAGGATATGTATTTGAGAGACTTGAATCCTACTGTAGTTGCTGTAGGCAATAAGGGGATACCTCCTTTCCTGAGGTAACTTCACCTGAGTGCCCTCTGGTCAGTTTATTGGCAACTTTATAGCAAGGAAAGTTAGGATAGCTAGCAATTACTTCTAATCATTTTTGATTCTATGGTATCCAGACACAGCATATCATCTGCAATTACGCTGGCAGCTAAATGGCAAAAATTGAGGGAAGATTTGATGTAAATAGAACAAAGAAACTTTGATCTTTATTGAAGACGCATATTCCATTGCACTTAAAAAGAAAGTATTCATTACTCTCATACACAAAAGAGGTGGCAGAAATTCATATTAAAAGTGGAAGGTTAAAATTTGATGGGTTGTTTGTGTCACCCTCAATCATCTTTGTGATCATAGACAACTGAAGAAGTATCAACAGGCACATCTCCTTTCTTAAGAAAGCTGGAGAACAAAGAGCTTCCTATCTTACTTTGCTTTCAAATTAAGGGTGTGGTATATGACATCTAAACACATGGAGAAATGCTCACCAAATCTGATCTTTGTTGTTGTTGTTAAATAAAGTCGATTGGGAAAAAAAAAGTCATTCAACCCATAAGATAAAAGAAAGTCTGTCTGTGAATAAATTAGAAGTAAATGAATTTGAGGAGAGAATACACTGATTCATACCTCAAAAGGCATGATTTAAATGCTTTTGTGTAATGAATGTTATGTTTTATATTTTTAAAAATTGGTATATCTCTATGAGATATTTTTAACATTGTTAATGTTATGTTTAATATATAATTGTTATGTTTACCATTCTCATTTACTTGGCTGTAACTACCCAATAGTACAGAAAAAGAAAGGGCAAAATATAGATAGTAATGCTAGTGCAATTACATAGACATCTCTCATGTTTTCAAGATTCATTTGCAGCACAGCATATTCATGATTCATGTAACTGCTCCTCCCACTACGATGAAGAACCCTACAAACACTCTCAGCCTCAACAAATGAACTAAGGATCCCTTGGGCTGCCTTTCAACATCGAGAGATTGTTCTTTCTGTTCAAGGTGATGCTACTGGTATATTAAATACTTATTTCCCACTAAACAAAAATATCAGTAAAAAAACCAATGCGTAACCAAAAACTGAAGTGGAAAAAAAAGTATTAAGGTTTGTTTTGAGAAAGCTCTAATGCTCAGATGTTCAGTGAGTTTCCCTAGTGGACTTCCCTATCTCATGGCCCTCTCAAGTCCTCTTTTCATACATTTAAAGTTTTTCTTTAACAAATCTCCTCCCTATTTGTTTGCTTTCAACTTCAACTGGCAAACAATGTACCTTTTGAACTCCACAATACTAGCCCTCTAAAAGGAGAAAATACAACTATCTATTCCATGTCAGCTTATCCCCAAATGAAGTTCCAGAACTGCTTCTTCATAAAGAATAGCCTGGAATATTTAGTATAAGCACTTATTTCTGGATCTTACCCCAAATTTATGAAAGAATCTCTGGGGTGCATCTCATGAATGTACTTTTTTTTTTTTTTGAGATGGAGTCTTGCTCTGTCTCTCAGGCTGGAGTGCAGGTGGTACGATCCTGGCTCACTGCAACCTCCATCTCCCAGTTTCAAGCAATCCTTCTGCCTCAGCCTCCCGAATAGCTGGGATTACAGGCACTCACCACCACACCTGGTTAATTTTTGTATTTTTAGTAGAGATGGGGTTTCGCCATATTGGTCAGAATGGTCTGGAACTCCTGACCTCAGGTGATCCACCCACTTCAACCTCCCAAAGTGCTGGGATTACAGGAATGAGCCACCGGGCCCAGCCAAGAATGCTCATTTTAAACGATCTCCCCATGTGACGACTCTGACACACACTACAGTTTGATGTTCCTGTAGTCTGACAAAGAGAGAGTTGAGATGGAGTAGGCCTTAGCTGAGGTGGTGACTGTCACCTAGGGAAAAGCTAGATTAATTCATAAGTGTGGTTTACATTATAAATAGAATAATAGTGGCTAACATGTAACACTTACTGAGTGCTTAACACATGCCAGACACTGTGTTAAATATACATACTACTTCATTAATTTTTTACAATATGACCATGAAACAGATGCTATTATCGCCCCTAAACAATAAATGAGACCTTTTTCAGGGTTGAAGATGTTACATAACTTTGGTAAAGTCACACGACTACTGACACCTAACACTTAAAACCATTTTATCTGACCATTGTCACCATAGTATCTCCCAGAAAGAAATAAGCAAAGATTTGGTATGTAATGATCAAGTCCTCTACAGACCAGTGAGATTACATAATCCTTGCTCTTGTTTAGTTATATGGAGAAAAAATGTTAGACACAGCCTCTTAAACGTGATTGTAACTTTCTAACTTTTCTAGATTGTCTCTTAACTGTAGGTCTGATTCTTCTTATATGCTCTAAAGAAAACACCATACATCAAAATTTCCTCGTTTAAAGGATCTCCTCCTTCTTTCTCTGTGATAGTATACCTTCCTAAATTTTTTCCCTCTATAATAGCTCTTTTTTGCAATTCATTGATATGAGAGGTATTTATTGAATATCTACTGTGTATCAGCCACAGTAGTAATGTTAAGGACACAGTTATGGACAGCAGTTTTAGTCTATGCCTTCAAAATAAATAAGCCATATAAATACTTAGATATAATGATTAATGTTAAGAAGGAAACATAAAGGCATGAGATATAAAATCTGTGCAGAAACTAATTTTATTGTTTATTTATTTTTTAACTTCACCAGGACCAGCTGAAAAACAAAACAATTTTAATTAAGATTATCAAAACCTTTTTTTTTTTTGTAGAGCTGACATTTATGCTGACACCTACAGCAAAGTGAAGAGAGGAAAATGGTCCTATAGAGAAAGAATGACAAATTCAAAGTTTCTGAGATGACAAAGATCTTGCATTTCAGAGGACTTTAGAGAAGACCCATGGAGCTAGCATTCAGTGAGAAATGAGGCTAGTGGCCCAGTTCTCAGTCGGTATCCTGCAGGGAGGGCTCAAGAAACTGGGTTATCTTCTGAGTTGAAAGGGAAGCCACTGAGGGGTTTCATGCAGGGGAGTGACATTGTTATTTAATTTATTTCTTAAGAGGCTCTCTTTTGCTAACATGTGAAGAAAAGATTGGAGGGGAATGAGTCCCTGAAAGACCAGTCTGTTGTCTATTACACTACTTCGAATAAGAGATGATGGTAGTCTAAGGGGATGATTTTGGAAATAAAGGACGTGGATGATTCTGAAATATTACATACACATATAATTAACAGGATATGCACATGTGTTAAATAGAGGGCAAAGGGAGATAAAAGAATCAAAGTTGACCCTTAGTTTCTAGATCTAACACCCTTGAGAATGCTCAGATGAAAAATTTAGAAATAGGGGATATTTATAGGATTAGGTAGGGGAAAGACTGGGAAAACAAGATTGATTATAATAAAATTTTGTTTTAATAAAACTTGAGGTGTCTATGAGAAAAATTAAGTGTAACTGGCTACTGGCTATACAACCTTAAGACTCAAAAAAGAATTATGTAATAGAAAAATAAACCTAAGAATAATTAGCATAGATATGCTATTTAAATTCAAAGAAGTAAATGAGATCATGTAGTCATAGAAAAGTATTTAGAATGGAACCCTGGAAGGCTCTAGCATTTAGAGGTCAGATGAAAGAGGCTGAGAAATCAAAGAAACTTAAGAAAGAATGGCCCTAGAGGAAAGAAGAAAACAAACAGAACATGTTGTCATGGAAGCCAAGAGAAGAGTGTGTTAGAAATAAGAGAATGTGGTCAAGTATATTGAATGCAGGTCAAGTAAAATAAAGACAAATAATTTGTACATTCAATTTAGCACTATGGTTATCATCAGTGACCTTAACAAAAGCAGTTTCAGTGAAGTGAGAGAGAGTAAAACAAGATTTTTACTGGTTTGGAGTAATGGAAAGAGTAATGGAAACAGAGCATGGTTTCAAGAAACCCTACTATAATCCAATGAACTGAGTCCAAAAATTTCAATTGTATAAAATGTGGAGGGCCGTTATTTCAAGGTTAATAAAATGACCTGTGCAGCAATCATGCTGGTAGTTCTAAGGGTCCAGCCGTGTGATCCACATTCATGCAAGTTCTGGCTATAGTTCGCAACCACATAACAGTTGCCCACTCCTGTTCAAATATAGACAGGGATGATTCTGGATCCTGTGACTATCTGGACTCCCATGACATCTGCAGTGATTGTGATGTCTCCTGATATTAGAGTGATTGAAATTGTGCTGGAAAAATACTAGGGATTTAATGTCTACTCCATGCCATCTTAATTCAATCCTGCCATTCTTCAGCCTAGACACTCTACTTATTCTTCATTCCAAGGTAAAGAACTTTAGCCTACCCTCTCTTGAGACTGTGGGTTGGTCAGAGAACTGGATCAAAGTGCCAATTGCTTTATATCAAAATTTGAGTTGTAAATTTTTATTATGTCTAAAAACTTTTTGCTGCAAAGAGAAGTTAAAAAAAAGAGTGATATATGAGGTGGAGTTGAGGGGTTTTTGTTTGTTTAATGTTGTTTAAGATGGAGCTAGTTAAATATGCAAGATGCTAATGGAAATAATCCAGTAGATGAGCTTCCTTAGGAAAACAAAACTGCTATCAGTAAGGTGGGCAGCAAGGACTGGCAGCACATCGCAAGATGAGAGCCTACTTGTCTGGGTTTAGTGCAGGATATCTGGTCCTGAAAAGGCAAAAGGAGAAAGAAGTAAAATTGCTCATTTAGGAAAATATGAGACTCCTGCAAGAAATTAGAGCAAGGAGTTGGGCTCACATCGTAAGAAAAGACTCAAGTTACTGGAACTGGGACACGAAGCAAAAACTTGTTTTAGAAACAAAGCACAAGTTTAGAGGCAAAAGATCAGAGCAATAGCAGCAAAATTTCCAGCTCAATGTTAAATTTTAGGAGTACCAATTGTGATTCCAGTCAAGAGACAGCTTAAGAGACCTCTAACCCAAGACAGGGCTAAGTCAATAGCTGGTAATTCAGTTCTTATCAAAGAGCTGGACATTGGAGGGATATATGACCAAAGCTATGAATACTATTAGATATAACTCTTTAATTCAGTATCTCTTTCTCTGAAGACTCAAAACATCACTTAAAAATTGTCTGTCAACTCTACTTTCATTTCAGATTACTCAGCATTTAACATATTTTTCTATATTACATTTTATAATACATTTCCTGCCTCACTTTTTACATTTCTATTGCAAAATGTCATAAATCAGAAGAATACAGGTTTTATAATCCTACACACCTAGTTTTAAATCTTCAGTCTACTACTTACTACATAAGTAATATTTTACAACTTAAATCTAAGTACTGATTTGCTTTTTGTAAAATAGTGTTAATACCTGATAATTTTTAAGTGTTTTTTAAAAGTAAAATGGCATGCATGTAAAATATCTAGTGTGATTGAGTATATAGTAGGTACTCAAAAAATATGAGTTTCTTTTTCCTTTCACAATTTAATGAACATAGATTAGAAACATACGTGGTGAAATCTCCCTGTTCTGTCTGCATTCTCTGTCTGCTTTATTCTTTCGACAATAACTTTGAGTAAGTTCATATCCCTAAAATACCCTTAGTCAAATGTTTAATAGATTTTCTTTATCAACAACATAATCTCTAGATTTAGATCTCCAACTATCTCTTATGTAAATTATCAAATTCTAAGTCAGACTTGGCCACTTAATTGCTGCTTAAAAATGTGCTTCTTCAGACTAGTGTTTCTTTCCGCTGCTTCTGTTTAGAATGTTCTTCCTAATTCTCTCGACCTAACAAAGTTCTCTCCATCAAGGCCCACATCTAGTGGTGTCTTTCATCCACAAAGCCTTATGGTGTCCCTGAGCCCTTAATGAATGTTTCTCATCCAAAATCAGCACTTATTGTTTTTACCCCTCATTTGGCAATTAATCTTACATAAGAATTGCCATCTGCAATGCTCCCCAACAGTGTTAATTCTTGGTTCATTCACTGCTAGATAACTAGGAATTATGCTCTCCTTTGCTAGACTTTACTTAGTACTATACTACTTTCTGGAACTAGACTTGGATAAGGCACTGGACAGGAGCAATACTGGTTGGTGTACTTCGTTCATTTAAGTACCTGAAGATCCTTTCCATGGAATCTCATAAATATCTGGCACCTGCCAACATTTCAAGGATCCTCATGGCCCTTCTCATTCTCCTTACACAAATATTCTTTGACTCTCCCTTGTGACTTACTTTTTCTTTCAAGAAAAAGTGGTTTTAATGTTGAGAATGAAAAGAAAAAAGTAGAATAAAGGAAAAGAGAGAAAGCATCTGTCCATATACACATAATTCAAGTAATGAACCATCAAATATTTTCAAACTTCTATGCCTTTTATAAAATAATATTATCCAATTTTAAGTTTAGTTTTAAAGCAAATAAAATAAATCTAAAAGCCTCAGCATGTTATAGAAGATTTCCTGAAGGAAAACATAAAAATGAAAGAAAAGAGGATAGCTGAAATTTCTGTGGATGATCTTTACAGGAGATAAATTAACTTAGGCAGTTATTCATTTATCCATGCAATATATATTTACTGAACACGAACTAGATGCAAAGCAACTTTGCTCCAACCTAGGCACAAAGATGAATAACCCATTTGCTTCCTGGCTATTAGGAAAGATACATGTTAACCAACTTATCTTATTAAAAAACATGAAATTGGCCAGGCACGGTGGCTCATGCCTGTAATCCCAGCACTTTGGGAGGCTGAGGTGGGCGGATCACCTGAGGTCAGGAGTTTGAGACAGCCTGGCCAACATGGTGAAACCCTATATCTACTAAAAATACAAAAATGAGCTAGGTGTGGTGGTGGACACTTGTAATCCCAGCTACTCAGGAGGCTGAGGCAGGAGAATCACTTGAACCCGGGAGACGGAGGTTGCAGTGAGCCGAGATCGTGCCATTGCACTCCAGTCTAGGTGACAGAGTAAGACGCCGTCTCAAAACAAAAACAAAAACATGAAATTGTGATAATGTCAAGAGCTGTAAAAGGTGCCCAGCACTATGATAGCCCTAATAGAAGGACTTTGTTCTAGAAAGGAAGCACATAGAAAGCTTTCTTAAACAAAATAGTAATTACCTAGGTAAGGAAGTGGAGATTTTCTAGGTAGAGAAAATCACATGTGCAAAGGTCTATGCTATGATGAAACGTGAAAATTACAATGAACCAAAAGAAAGTCAGTGGCTTAGGTGAGAATGATTGTGAAGAAGAGCAAAGGGCAAAAGGAACCTGGAGAAGTCAATGCCAATGACAAGCCTTCCTGACCATGAGGAGGCACTTGCTCTTATCCCAAGATCATGGAGCTATTTTTAATTGGGTAAGACATAAGGAAGAGTGACACAAATTAATTTTAATTTTCAAAAGATCACTCCAGCTGCAAAGTTGCAAAAAGAAGAGCTTTTGGGGTAAAAGTTTAGGACATTGTTGCCATAATTTAGGCAAGAGATGGGGGAATTAAAGATTGATATAGAGATAGAGGGATTCGTGATATTTTTTGTGGGTAAATTAATAAACAGCAATTATCAAAGAAGACTACCAGGTTTTTGGCTTTTATAGCTAGATGGTAGGTGGTAGCTCTCACTGAAACAGAAACACTGGAGAAAAACCATATTGGTGGCAGACAACATACAGGTGACTTGTTTTGAACATACAGTTTGAGATACCTCTGATACATCTGAAAGAAGGCATCAACCATGCAGTTGTACATACAATAAAAATAATTGCTAAACTTATAAAGCATTTAACATGTTCTAGGTTCAAGTGATTGAATATATCAACTCAAATGTGTTCTGGAAATCCAAGGAGAGCTTAGCTAGATGTACAACTGTATGAACTACCTGCATTTAGATGGTAAATTTATCTAAGATTTTGTATAATATTACCTAGAAAGAAAATATGGAATGAAAAGAGAAAGATTAGGATTGAGTCTTGAGCAACTCCAATTTTTAATGCCTCATAGATGAATTTAAAAAACAAGGACAGTGAAGACGAGTTGCCAAAAATGTAGAAATAAAAACAGGACACTGTTATTTTAGAAAAACTAAGGGAAAAGAATGCTTCAAAAAGGGCAAAGTGGTTATCAACACCTAGTGCTACCAGGAAGTCAAGTAAAATGAGGACTCAAGACTATTTGTTGATTGTAGTGAGACACAGCCCATGGTATCAGTAGTAAGAGCTCATTCAGAGGCATGGTAGATTAGATTCTTTTTTTATTGTGTAGATATGTGAGAGAAAGGTGAGAAATAAAAGAATGTAAGAATAAATAGACAGCTCCTTTGAGAAACTTTACACCAAACTGAAGGAAATATGTAGAGGAGAAGAGCGAAAAAGGAATAGATACACAGATGAGAAGTTGAGTGAGCATGTTTTCTTTTCTAAAAGGAGAAAAATCTGAATGAGTAAACCAACAGCAACAGTTATCATATCCAAAACAACAACAACACAAACATTGGAAAAAAATCTATTAGAGATCGAGAGGCTGACTACAAAATAGAGAAGCAGTAATTTTGCAATTGTTCTTGAGAAATCAACTGAAGAAGTTAGGCTTGTACAGAAGAGTGACAGAGAACGTGGATTTATTTTTTTGGTATCTTGAAAATGAAGAAGTTGCTGTTTAACGGATTATATTTTATTGGTAAAATAGGAAGATGAGAAAACCAAATGGAGAGTTTGAGGAGAAATAGTCTAAGAGGTAGTGGGTGGCATAGTGAGTAAACAGAAATGTGGTAGGACCTTTGAGTAGTATTGAAGGATCATTTGAGATTGAATCATAAATGTACAATGGATGCCATCTTCTGTGTTGTCTGTCTCTTACTAGCAAGATCAATGAGCTACTAAGAGATAGGCATGGAGGAGTGGATAATTGGTATATTGGCTATATTGGCTATCATAAGGTTCAACTGTGAGTAACCAAAAAAAAAAAAAAAAAACCAAACCAAACCACAACAACAATTGATGATAACAATAACAGTAGCTTAAGAAAAAGAGAAGTTTTATCTCCCTGAACATTCACTAACTTTGGGGATGTTCTATCTTTGAATGTTGGTCATGCTCCAGTGTTCCATCTAGTTCATTTGCTGTGTGAGGCTTTTTTTCCACATTTACATCATGAAGCAAAAGAGTTTCTGAATTCCAGTTGTTATGTCTAAATTTTAACAAGCTCGAAAGGGGAAGGAGTGAGCAGAGCTTGTACTCTTTCTCCAGTGATACTTCCTGAAATTGCAAAACGTAGTCACATGGTCACCACTAGCTGAAAGAGATGTCGACATCTTCGGTGTTTATTCCAGACTTCCATGTGCCAAAACAACATTCAAATTTTCTGTTACTGAGTATGAAGGGAAGATTAGCTATAGATGGAACCTTGAAGTCTCTCTTAGAGTTGGGATAATCCAGGAAAAAAAATTTGTCAAGGTGGGTGGTGGTAGTAGTTGCAAAAGAAGCACCTGGATAACACAAAGGCTGTGGCTGAAGTGAGATGCTTAGACTGGAATTTGATAGGTGAGGCAATGATAAATAATGAAGTAGCCAAGGCATGCCAGAGGATGCCCATGGACATGAGGTGAGAAGCCGAGACCCCTGCGATTGAGTCTCAGAAATTCATGTTAATGCTGTTCCAAATGAGAGCAGAGTTTGGAGCAGGGAGAAAGCACGTCTCAGGTACTGAAGTTGTTCATGAATTAGAAGTTATCAGAGGCATGGCAAATTATAATAGTAGAGGACGGGAGAGAAGGATATGGCTAACTATCATGAGCTTTGGAGAGATAGACTTTTAAGATTATATTGGTGGGGTGATGATCTGAAAGCAGCAATAAGTAGCAAAGATAAATCTAGACCAATTTCTAGTTTGAAGATATAAGATTTGGGAAAATAAACTGCCGCCATCTCAGACAGTCTAGAGGAATCAATACCCTCTGAAGATCAGCAGGTGTCAGTTAAGGTAATGAGAAAAGAAATTAAAGACTGAGAAATATTTGTTGGTCCATGAGCTGCAATTTCATAGAGAGAAAGTTTAGGAAGTCAGAGAGGCCAGGATGAGGGAGGGTTTCAGAGAAATATGGAGTTGATCATGGGGAAAAGGATGAATGGGAATTGTAGGAAAACAGGGAGCAAGGGAAGGGACATTTTGTTTCTACAGCCACCTTGACTTGGATGGACCCTGGGCGTAATGGCCTGGGAACTTCTCACTCTTGTGAGGTGATGGCAGACCGAGAAGGCAGAGACTCCACATGCATCAGAGACTAGATGAAGAGAGAATCATAGCTGGAGGCTCGCTGGTTAGTTGTTTTGGATCATGGTGATTCCAGGAACTTGGAGGCATCACTCACTATCAGTGGGCTGATATTAGACCCACTCAAATCATTGCCTGCTAAAATACTTATTTTAAAAAAAATTTAAAATGTTTAGTTTTATGTCTAAATTAATATATATTTTATAAAATATAGGTATGCATCAAGAAGAAATTTTTAATCACTGGTATTTTCATCTTTCCAAGCAATTATCTTTTAAAGAACAGGGAAAATATTGTATATTAAATATGTAATGCATGTAGAGATTAATGCTTTTGTTAAAAAGTAATTAAATGTATTCAAAGTCTGTACCTTTCATATTATTTTTGGTTCTTTTGCATAGTCCATGGATGCTGTACCTTCACATTTCAGTTATTGGACTCTGATTATAATTTAAATGATTACTAAGGTTTAGAGTTTGCATTTGCTAGGTTATTCTTTCTAGCCTTGATGTATGTAATACAGAATGAATGGCAAGGAGTGCAACATCCAATGGTTCCATTATCATTAAAGTGGTCGATGGTAAAATGCAGTTTCCCAGAACCATAAAAAAATCGAAGCTGGAGATAAAGTTAGAAATCGTTGTCTAAAATCCTCTCATTTTACATGAGAAAACTTGAGCACATGAGTTCTTGAGCACAGCAGGGTCTTGTCATCGGTCACTGAGCTAGTTAGTAGTAGGGATGAAACTAGAACAGTTCTCCTATCCACAGAGACCGTGCTCTCCCAATGCTTCGCTTCCATGGTATTTTCTGTTACCCTCTAAGTACAAACTGCTCTGAGTATCTGTTCAAGAACAGGGGAGGCAGCCATCCCTTGTGCTGATTGGTGACATCTTTTGTCCCTCCATTTAAGCATCCCTGTGTATAAAAGTTGCCCTTCCTCTTACATGTCATCTTCAGTGTAAGTTGCCTATGGGCAGAGATATGATCTGGTTCACTCTGCATTCCCTCAGCACTAAGCACACTATTGCAGACAGATTGGACCTTCAATAGTGTTTGCTGGATGAACACATGGCCAAATAATCCTACTTTTTCTCCTTAGGTAGGGTGGGATAGGAATTTTTAATAATGTGTAATATTTGGTTTGACAGAGGGGTAAATAAAGAACATCTGAGTGAGAAGCAGTGTTGCTCCATCAGAGGCACAGAGTGAGCCCCCTTAAATGGTGGCCCAGCCAAGAAAAATAGGTTGTTTATGGTAGGGGATGTGTCCTGAGGGGGTGACTCCCTGGTGAGGTGGAAGCTGGTTTCCGGAGGGATCATCTCATTTAAACAGAGATGGGAACATTCAGGTTAGTTTGACATATCTTTGAATGTTTTTATTATCTTTGTAAACCAAAGTTCTGAAGTGTATCAGGGCTCAAAGCCAGGCTCTCACTATGAATAATGAACTTAAATGAGGCCTTTTGTGTTGATTATCTGATGATTCATTCTAATGCAACCATCATTTTGGGCTATACTGAGAAAAAATACAGGATGTATTCAGGTGGCATTTTTGATTCATGGCCTTTCTTTTATAATTTATTATTCTGAGGTATTCAGTTTGAAAAGCAAATAGTTTGATACCAAGTGATAGATTATTTTTCTTCAGTGTGAAGAAACCCATGTTGACAAGCCCAGAAGAGGGACTAACAGTAGGAGGGGAGAAATTTCTGTCCTCATGATCCATCAGGAAGAGGGACTGACTCTGAAAATGAGACACTGTTTGTATAAAAGAATCATTTGTTCAAGCCTTTTATTCCTTTAATAAATAATTTTGAATACAAGCCTAATTTAATGTCAAGGCCTTTACTAAGTACAGTGGAGGAGTAACAAAGTGGAAAACCGCATAGGCTCTTAGGGAGAGACAAAACATGTTACAGGAAATGACTCAAGAGTGGTGAAAAGGCCTCATAACAAATGCACACTAGAGTCAAGCAAAAAAATGAAGGGAAAAAGAGCAAGGAAGTGATCATAGTGAGATAGAATATATCAGGAAAGGCTTCGGAAGAAAACCAAAGATGTTAAAATCAAACTGAATTCAGGCATTTGCAGGAAGCTGGGCTCTGGAAGATCAGGTGTGTAGCTGTGGTTGCAGAATCTCTGCTGTCTTGAGATTACTTTAAAAATTCTGAACAGAGAGTAGGGAAGAGAAGAGAATTATGAAACTGTACTAAGGGCCGGGAGCGGTGGCTCACACCTGTAATCCCAGGAGAGGGATTTGGGAGGCTGAGGCGGGTGGATCACTTGAGGTCTGGAGTTCAAGCCCAGCCTGACCAAAATGGTGAAACCTCATCTCTACTAAAAATACAAAAATTAGCCAGGCGTGTTGGCAAGTGCCTGTAATCCCAGCTACTTGGGAGTCTGAGGCAGGAAAACCACTTGATACTGGGAGGCGGAGGTTGCAGTGAGCTGAGATTGTGCCATTGCACTCCAGCTTGGGCAACAAGAGTGAGACTCCGTCTCAAAACAACAAAAAACAAACAAACAAGACTGTACTAATGATATTTTAAAAGATCAAAATAAATGCAAAATATATATTATTTTATGGAGAAAAATATTGTGATAATATAAACTCTACCCAAGTTTATCTATATATTCAAACCAATTCTAAAATATTCCCAAAAGACTTTTATGAACTGGATTCTACGATTGTTAAATTTATCTTGAAGAGCAAAGTGCCAACGATAGCCAAGAACTTGCTATTTTTTTCAAAAAGAAGTAGAAAAAGATTCTTGCTTTTAGGACTTTTAATAAAGTGATTGTAATAGCCCAAGTTCGTGAGCCTAGGAATAAATAAATTAGGCAGCGGGATAGATAATAGAGCTGAGATCCCATCCACATCTTTCTGTGTCCATGTTAGAGAAAGAATATAAAGCTAATTTGGTGCGAAACTCTAATTTCAACTAGCAACATTTACAAAAATGTTGTTAGAATTTAAAAAAAGTTGTAAGTACTTGGCTAGCTAAAATGGATCTCTTTAATCTTCAGTTCTATTCTCTAGTGAATGTCACAGATGTGGAGCCATTCATTTGGTCAATGTTTTTTAAAATATATATTTTTGATTTTTAAAATTCAAAATTTAATTTTTAATCATTTCTTTATTTTAAATATATAATTTTCAAAAAATTATAAGCTGTATAATGGCCTTATTTGGACCCCTTTAAATGTTGATTCCTTGGTGAAGGGGCTCCTGACTCCCTGTGACCAAATAAATTGCTGTGTTCTTTGAGTTTCCCCAGCTATCTCAACAAATACTCATTATAATGTATTTTGTTTAAAAAAAAAATCTGTCTTCCCTTCTATACAGTGAGCGCATCAAGGGAAAAGGCAATGTCTTTTCATCTTTGTGTCACTTGGGCTGAACAGGGCAGTCAGTTTATGGTTAAGCATTAAATAAATATTTATTGAAAGAATAAAAGAATGAATGGATCTTTCTAAGATGGTTTAGATAAAGTGCTTTCTGAATGCCAGGACAGGGCCTGGAATATTACTTAGGGAATTGTTTCCAGCATTGTTTTATAAGTCACTGATGAAACAGGAATGGGGATGTTAAAGACCCAAAAGTAAAAACAAATGAAAATTCAATTTATCCAGAAAACATTTTCTTTTCCATTGCAAGCATTTTAAAGTTACATAATTTATTCTCACTACTAAACTAGTAACTTCAGAATAGCAAAAAAGTTATATTTTATGCTTTTGCATTAGAACAAAACGTATTAATTATATTGTGTGAGAAAGAATAAAAGGTGCTTTAAAATTCCAAACAAAAGTGATTTCTCAATGACAAGAGGCAAACAAATTAAAATCCGATACTGAAAAGAAAAGTTTGGCAACTGCATTGTAATAGACATTTTTTAGAATGCTGCTGGGACAATGATGCTTGTCTATCATTTATTTCAACCTAAATAAGACTAGGAGCAAAAGGGAACTGTCGGGAATATTGCATAAATTGAGTTATGAACTAGCCCAGTGCATTGGTTTAGGATACACTTGTGAATTTCCAGAAGAGGTTTCTATATCCCTCTTCATATAGTTAATCACCAGTTTAGTCATTTGTTCATATATACACATCTCTACCCCACTGTATGTTTTTATTAATACAGGGAATATGACAAAAAAAATTACTCATCTTCTCTAAGTTAAAGCCCCAATTTTCCTTCTTAGAAGCCTTTATTAGGCAGGACTTGCCATGTTGCCAAAAAATCAGTAGTTCACTTTTATAACTAAAAGCTGTGAGCTCTAGATATACCTTTACAATCATTAATTTAGGTAATTGGTATAGTTTGGGTTCTAATTTCATTATGAAGATCTTTTTAAATAGTAATTCTCATTTGCTCTATTCTACTTGCATTTGTTGAAGCATGTTTATCATCAGAACATACTGCTTCATAGCCATTCCATAGACTTCAAAAATTAAAGTAGCATTGTGTAGGGGTTACAAACAGAGACTCTAGAGCCAGACTACCTGGCTTTGAATTTCAGCTGTCACTCACTCGCTTCAGGATCTTGGGCCCATGGCATAAGTCTTCTGTGCCTCTGTTCCATCATTTGTAAAATAGTCGTGATGACAATGAAAGTACCTACTCATAAAGTTATTTTAAGATTTGAGAAGTTTACTCTCTATATTAAATCATTTACTTATTTTTTTTTTTTTTAGACAGGGTCTCACTCTGTGCAATAGTGCCATCTCGGCTCACTGAAGCCTTAACCTTCCAGGTTGAAATGATACTCTCCCTCAGCCTCCTGAGTAGCTGGAACCATAGTAGTATGCAATCACATCCAGATTTTTTTTTTTTTTTTTTTTGTAGAAATGAGGTTTTGCCACATTGCCCAGGCTGGTCTCGAACTCCTGGGCTCAAGCAACCTGCCCATTTTGGCCTCCCAAAGTGTTAAAGTGTTTAGACTACAGCCTAGCACACAGGAAACATTGTATGTGCTTATTATGGCTATTATTATTTTTGTTGTTATTGTTATAGGCTTCTGCCAGGATACCATACTATTTTAACCATAACAACTTCAAACCTACTCATTACTTAAACAATCCCCAGAAAGGCAAAGTGAAGGACTAGTGTGGAATCAAACATGTATAGACTGGCATTGTAATGTATTTATTTGAAAATAAAACAAATACTGTCTATGAATCACAGAGCATCGAAGATACTGATTTTAGTTTTGAGCAACTCTGTTGACTGCACATGTTACGATTTGGTGCAGAGTAAAGGGTCACTAATATTAGCTTCTGCTTTCTTCCCTGCCTCTAAGTTTTCTAGCTCTATCCATGAAGGATTAAGTTATCAGTCCCAACTATAGATTTGGACCCTTGTTGACTTCCTTTCTATTGCCCTCCAGATCAACTCTCCACACTTCAACAATCTTGTTGGGTTGGTGTATTAGTCTGTACTCACAATGATATAAAGAAATACCTGATACTGAGTAATCTATAAAGAAGAGAGGTTTAATTGGCTCACAGTTTCACAGGATGTACAGGAAGCATGGTGAGGAGGCCTCGGAAATTTACAATCATGATGGAAGGCAAAGGGGAAGCAGGTATGTCTTACATGGCCAGAGCAGAAGGAAGAAAGCAAAGAAGGAGTTGCTACACACTTTTAAACAACAAGATCTCATGAGAACTCACTCACAATCATGAGGACAGCAAGAGGGTAGTTCACTCCATGATCTCATCACCTCCCACAAGACCTCTCCTTCAACATTGGGAATTACAATTCGACATGAGATTTGGGTAGGGACACAAATCCAAACCACATCATTCTGCCCCTGGCACATCCCAAATCTCATGTCCTTCTCACATTACAAAACACAATCATCCCTTCTCAACAGTCTCCCAAGTTCTTTTTTGTTTTGTTTTGTTTTGTTTTTTTGAGATGGAGTTTCACGCTTGTTGCCCAGGATGGTGAGAAATGGCATGATCTCTGCTCACTGCAACCTCCGCCTCCCAGGTTCAAGCAATTCTCCTGCCTCAGCCTCCCTAATAGCTGGGATTACAGGCATGCACCACCAGGCCCAGCTAATTTTGTTTTTTTTTTAGTAGAGATGGGGTTTCTCCATGTTGGTCAGGCTGGTCTTAAACTCCTGACCTCAGGTGATCCACCTGCCTCGGCCTCCCAAAGTGCTGGGATTACAGGTGTGAGCAACCACGCCCAGCCCCAAATTCTTAACTCTTTCCAGCATTTACTCAAAAGTCCACAGTCCAAAGTCTCATCTGAGACAAGGCAAGTCCCTTCCACCTATGAACCAAAATCAAAAACAAGTTAGTTACTTCCAAGATACAATAGGGGTACAGGCATTGGGTAAATACTCCCATTCCAAAAGGGAGAAATTGGCCAAAAGAAATGGGATACAGACCCTGTGCAAGTCTGTTACACAGTTCCAAAATTGCTTCCAAATTTTCAGGTATCTTTATAGCAACACTCCACTTCTAGTATCAATTTTTGGTGTCAGTTTATTCTCACATTGCTACAAAGAAATACCTAAGACTGAGTAATTTATGAAGAAGAGAGATTTAATTGGCTCACAGTTCCACAGGATGTATAGGAAGCATGGCTGGGGAGGTCTCAGGAAACTTACAATTATGGTGGAAGGCGAAGGGGAAGCAGTCACGTCTTATATGGTCAGTGCAGAAGAAAGACAGCAAACGGGGAGCTGCTACACACTTTTAAACAATCAGATCTCATGAAAACTCATTCACTGTCATGAGAACAGCAAGGGGGAAATCCACCCTCATGATCCAGTCATCTCCCACCAGGCCCTTCCTCCAACATTGAAGACTACAATTCTACATGAGATTTGGGCAGGAACACAGACCGAAGTTACATCAGTTGGTGTGAAGAGAGTGGTAAGGTTGGATGCTAGCCCATGGGGACTACATGACTGGGTTTCCACAACCTCTAGCTTTCAGTTACATTCATCCAATAGGGATCCCAGTTAGAGGTCAAAGGAAAAAGAGAATTGAGGTCAGGGTACTTCTTTCTCTATGTCCTCTAACTCCCTTCCTGTGACTACCCCAGGGTGGCTGTGTTCTTCCACAGAAGTACTATTCTTCTCAAGGTGAGCAACACACTACAGCACTCTTTTCCTCTTTGGTTTTATGCACTCCTTTTTGACCTCATACTTTTGAGCTTATGAGGAACAAACTCTGGATGACCAAACTCTTTCTTGTGATTCCCTACCCCCACATCTATGGAGGTAATGCTTTGAGAATGAATCATTATTAACATGTCCTAATTTGAGTGTTTGATCAGTTTCCTGTTGAGACCTAGGCTAACAAAGTCTTGGTCTCTCAGAATAAACCCTACAGGAACAGAACTGGCATCAGCAGGCTCAACATCAATGTCTTATGAGCCTTAGCATTTGTTTTATTACTGATTATTCCTGCAATGTGAGGTTGGAGTTTACAATAAAGAGTTGTCAATGTTGACTGTACAGGTCTTTGGGCCACACAGCACATTGGGAAATGTTTCTCAAGAAGTTCTGAAGAGAGGGAGTTATCAGAAAGTTAGCATGGTAGCAGAGAAATGAAGGCAGAGATGAAATCTCTCGGAGATACAACTGACAATCCAAGACTCAACACAAATAGATCAACTTCAGTTTTAGGCCAGGCACCAGATGAGGAGGAATTTGATCCTGTGAATGAAAGAAGAGCACAATTTTGCTGCTGAGACAGAAAGAAGTGGGTACTGAGTGTAAGAATTTCATATCCAATGTCACAGGTCTGTTGTGCTGGATCTATGAGTTAACCCATAGGTCTGCTTCTGTCTTGCCTTGGGTGTGGTACTGAAGTATACATATCTGAAACTGTCTTCTTGAGAGATTCCTTCAGGACATTGGAAGAAATTCCATCCAAGTCCACAGTATCCACCAAATACTACACCAATCCCTTCTATTTCTCTACCCCACTGTGTTGAGTCATCATTCTTTGTATTCCTAACTACAGGTTGGAGTTCTATTATATCACAATATCCAATAGCTAAAATGCAACAACTCCTATGTAGTCAGAGTTCTTCTGAGAAATAGAATCAATAGGATATATATATCTAATATATATGTATATATATTTATATACATATGTGTATATATATATATAGAGAGAGAGAGAGAGAGAGAGTTTTCTTTTAGAAAAACTCTTTTAGGAAAACACTTGTGTGATTTTGAAGGCTGAAGATCCCATGATTTCATCTGGAAGCTAGAGATCCAGAAAATCCAGTGGTGTAATTCCACTTTGAGTCCAAAGGCCTAGAAACCTAGGGTGCTGACGGTGTAAATCTTAATTCAAGGGCAGAAGAAGACCAATGTCTAATCTAAAACAGGCAGGCAAAAAACAAAAGAGGGTAATTCCTTCTTCCTTTGCCTTTTGTTCTATTTGGGGCCTCAATGAATTAAATAATGGCCATTCACATTGGGGAAAGCAATCTACTTATGGAGATCACTGATTCAAATATTAATCTAATCCAGAAACACCCTCGCAGACACACACAGAAATATTTAATCTGAGTACACGTTGGTTCAAGTAAAGTTATCACATAAAATTTACCATTATGCTTTATTTTGTAAATTCTTGCCTTCTTTCTTAGATTCATATGTTTTCTCATCAGAATTGAATCTCCAGGAACAAACTCATTGTACTGGACCTTCTAGCTGTACTTGTGTAGACCAATCTCTATAGCCAGGTTAATTATCTGAGAACCATGTCATAAAAGTCAGAGAAAAGGACTCTGACCAACAGGATTCACCTTGATTCACTGTGTGCTGCCCATTCTAAATGGTTTGCTACTCTAACTGCTTTCTATTTTGAAGTTGGCCTGTCTGCAAATTCACTGTGCTTCTTGACCTTGAAACATCCACACATTTATACACATGTGCACACGCACATACAGGGAATGCAAAATTCTCTTTGATTTCAAACCTCATTTGGTTAAAAGCAACAAAATCTAAGTGTGAAGTATTGAGGAATCAGTAAACGCATCTACTGAGATTCAGGATGCAGAGATAGTCATAGTTTTCATCTTTACAAGAAAAAAGCCAGGCCAAAAGTGATATATGGAGAGTGAGAAAAGTGCAAACTGATGGGTGGCTGGTTAAATTAATCTTCAATAATTCATTTAGATATGAGTAGCAGAATAGAGTCTGAGAAATCTGAAAATGTCAAGAAGAGAGACCTATTAAATGACTTTCCAACTATTATCCAAGGTCAGGAGAAACATTAGCTTGAAACCATGAATGTCCTGGCTCCTAGGTTCCAATTTTAACAACTAGATGATGTGTCCTGTTTTTCCAGGTGCAATCTTCATTCATTGAGGAATGAAAAGGAAACAAACCCAGAGATAAACAAATTTAATCCAGATTATCCTGGCTTTATCTGTTAAAAGGCATTTGTTTAGTAGAAGTAGCAGTGAGTGTAATTATTCAATGCCCATATCCTTCCCAACTTTAAGGATTTTTTTAAAGCTAGGTATAAAGACCATTAATAATTGATAAAGCATTTGTAAACCCTTAGCAAATGAACCGTCAAGGGACACATTAATAAAACATCTTTTAAAATCTCCATCTCTGGGCTGATTCTCATCACGCTGTCCCAAAGCAGAGTACACCGGGCTGCTTATCCTGCAGCTCTTGGTACTGCCCAGCATGTGTAGCAAGGTGAGACAGGAGACAGAGGGCAGGGCCTTTTAGGAAACCAGTGCCATCTTTCACACAGGTATCCACACCCCTCCAGCTGATTCACAGCTTAGAACCATTCCCTAAGTAAATAAATCCTTAGCCAGAATTTTTCACTGGGTCACTAGATATAAATTTATAGATGGACCTTTTGACATTTCTATTTGCAAAGCAAAACATTCAAGATCCTAGGGGAATTGAAGTATTAGGCATTTAGGAGGAGCCAATGAAAGTTTTCACCTTGAGGTCACTGTTCACATTTAGCCCAGGCTAAAGGAGCAGTCAGGGTCACTGAACAGCACAGCTCTGAGGCAGTTAAGTGGCTTGGCTCATCTTATTCTCACTGGTTAATGCAAAAGATATAAAAATGTATTTTACTGACATGGCATCTTTCTTCTTTACAATGAAGAGCAGTGCAGGGACAAGAAGAAACCAGCTATTAGCATATCAACCTGTCACTGCCCTTGGACAGAGCAGGGGTTGTCAAGAAACCTCAGTGTAAATAAGATCAACAGCAAGGATCCGGAATCAAGAGCAGGAAGCATTTTCTACAATCCTATAAAAAGAACTATCCACCTGGGGTGTGACTAGAGGTTACCTAGTAAGCATGTATTCATCAGGTAATCTGTCCCTATGTCAAGGCACAGAAGAGTCATTCTAGGTATGGTGAACAATTTTGTCAGTAGCACCCCAAATACTTATTGAACTCTAGCTATATGAATGACTTTGTTGGCACTGAGTGTATAATGATATCATAAGAGCCAGTCTGTGCTTTCCTGAGGATATCACCCCATTTTTGAAGGTAAAATTCATAGGTAAACAGGAAAATAATTTTTCAAGGTGGCACAAAATTTCAAGGTATCAGAGTAGAATCAATTTTACAGAAGTACTGAGATGAGATGGGTGTTTTAAGAGTCTACAACTGATATAATTAAGGACATTATAGGATAATAAAACAAAGATTTTCTTGATTCCTATACATTTTGGCCTAATTTACTTACCACTGTGCCCACTTAGAATCCCATGTGTCAGTTCAGTTCTGCTTCATCTAAATGAAGGATGTGAGCCTCTTATTTGCAGGAACACTAACTGAGATGCAGAGTTTATATTTATTGCTCTGAAGGAAGTCTAGAGTCTTTGGTTCATCTTTTGAAAGTACAACTTTATCAAACCTATGTCAAAATTTCCAAAGGAGAATAAAGCCCTTTCTCTGTATAATTTCCCCTGCTAATCCCTTTAGCTTGTGGTAGGGTTAGAGTTTGGGTTAGTTAAGGATTAGAATTCATGTTGCCCCACATTTTCCTGATTTATAAATAAAGGTTGCCAAAATAAAGACATATGTTCATTCCAGGAAGACTTCCTCTTTGTTTCATTTAATTGCCTACTTATTTAGTCCTCAACAACCCCAGGGTGAAATGATATAATCTGCTTTGGTTCAAGACTCATTCACTCTCACCTGGACTAACACATCCTCCTTATAACTGGTCTTCCTCTTGTCATTCTGGCACGCTTATAATCCTGTTCTACACAACGTTCAAAAGGGTCTTTATCAATGAAACTTAGTCTGTATTAACCGTCTGCTTAAGATGCTCCTTTTCACAGCCCACTAGCGCTAGCTAATGGTTTCCCCAACTTCTCTCCATCCCTTAATGTTTCCGAGAGCACATACCCACATACTAGCCATTTTTTCTTTGCTGTGCCTTCCAAGTTCATAACTATCTAAGAAAGAGGCTTGCTCTCTGTTGCTTGTCCATAAAACACTCTAATAAGAGATATTTGCATCTTCAGTTCTTTCTTTTCCTTCAGGCCTCAGCTTGAACATCCCAGAAGCCTCTTCTGATTATTCAACTCCTCTGCTATCTACCTCCTCATGCATAACAATCCACCCCGCCTCCACTGCCGGGTCACTCTCTACAACATGACTGTTTTATATCTTTTAAGAATGATTACAGTGTTAATATGTTTATCTTATTATTTTATTTGTTTCTTCATTTTTTATTTTCTCTACCCCCACCTTCAATTAGAAATGCATTCCAGGAAAACAAGACTATGTTGAATGTTCACATTTATGTGACAGTGCACTTAAGATATAGACCCCACTCTTAAGAAAGATATGTAGTAAAGAAAATAGGGAACACACCAAAATAGGTATGAAAGATAATGTGCAAGAAGTATTATAAGTGAAGGTGAGCCACAGATTAGAAGAGGTCAAGGAAAGACGACTTCTACCTACAATGAATAAGGAAAGTATTGTGATCGAGGTGATCCTTTAATTGACAAAGGATCTGGGTTTGACATGATTTGGGGGGACTATTCCACTCAGGCTAAAGCATAGGCAAATATTTTTCAAGACATATAGAAAATGAATCCCAAGCTACCATCCAAGAATGATGGAACAGAGACCAGGTGAGGCAGCCAAGGCCCTCCAGAGGATTTTATTATTTCTTTCATGATGTGGCAAAAATATTTCCCATCATTCAAACTAAGAAATTCAAGGCAGTTTTTCTTAAAGATTTGGAAGCAGTAAATAACTTATTTTAAGGAATTATATTGCCTGGCATGGTGGCTCATGCCTGAAATTCCAGCACTTTGGGAGGCCAAGGCAGGTGGATCACCTGAGGTCAGGAGTTCAAGACCAGCCTGGCCAACATGGTGAAACCCCATCTCTAGTAAAAATACAAAAATTAGCCAGGTGTGATGGTGTGCACCTCTAATCCCAGCTACTCAGGACGCTGAGGCGGGAGAATTACTTGAACCCAGAGGCAGAGGTTGCAGTGAGCAGAGATCACGCCACTGCACCCCAGCCTGGGGGATAGAGTAAGCCTCTGTCTCAAAACAACAACAACAAACACAATAACAACAACAAAACGACCCGTTGGCAGGGCGCGGTGGCTCACACCTGTAATCCCAGCACTTTGGGAGGCCGAGGTAGGTGGATTGCCTGAGTTCAGGAGTTCAAAATAATTTGGGCAATATGGTGAAACCCTGTCTCTACTAAAATACAAAAAAAAAAAAATTATCTGGGCATGGTGGTGGGCACCTGTAATTCCATCTATCTGGGAGGTTGAGGAACGAGAATTGCTTGAACCTGGGAGGCAGAGGTTGCTGTGAGCCAAGATCCGGCCACTGTACTCTAGCCTGGGTGACAGAGTGAGACTCTCCTTCAAAAAAAAAAAAAAAAAAGAGGAAAAGAAATTACATTCTTCTGTAAAAGGAGCATATGCACATAGCTTATATATATCATATAATCAAATACTTGGCTACCTATAATAATCCATGCTTTACTTCCCTTGGACAGGAGATTGTTGCTTAAATAATAGTAGGGATAATCTCAAAGAATCTTAAATGCAGTGTTTCTTCTTCTCAATTATTGTCTCCTCAACGACAAGATACACACTATTTTTGAATATATAAACAAACTGACTTGTCTAAAATTAAAAAAAAAAATAGCTATGACTGTAGATTCAAAAGGCCTGGAAATTATTCTTTGTTACCAAAAACGGTACTCTTCTTCTCCCAGATGATATTTAAGCCCGGCCAGCATCCCAATCGCTCACTCCCATTCCTCACCCAGATATTTGCTCTTATAATAGTCTTGTTCTTCTTGCAGCAACACAATTCTCTCCAACAACCTCCTATATCCTTATAGGCAATGGGCTGTGTCCATCCCTATCAGCACGAAGGACGCAGTGAAATAGATCTTAAGGTATATACCATGTAGTGCAAAGCCCAGGAAAGAGGTTTTGACTATGACATGGCCCTAGTTGCTTATGAGCACTGTCCAATAAATCACCCAGTTAGACCCCTACTGCCACTTTGCTTCTGTGCTGCTGTAGTCTGATATTTTTCAAAGCAAAGTCCACCCAGCCATTAAAATAAATAAGAAGACCATTACTGCCTTTCAATCTCTTCACAGAAAAATAAGTTAAGAACACCCACACGCAAACACACATATACACACTCCAAGACCAGTGGTACTGAAGATTTCATCCGCTGTCTGACAAGAAGATATTTAATTAACTCTCCCACCTGTCTCTCCCTGCATGAGACAAACAAGTCATGGAGCTTTGGAAGAATAATTAATTCAAGATGTAAAAGCAGCATCAGATTAAAAAAAGAGACAGAAGTGGTAGGAGTCTGGAGTGCTTAATTTTCATTAAACAGCACCCTTGCTAAGAATTTTGCCACCAAGCATGCTTCTGAGGTCAGGACTTAGCATGTCCTGATCCACCAAAATATATACCATAAACCCGAGGACCCTAACAGAGGGTCACGCCACCAAGCATGCCTCTGAGGTCAGGACTTAGCATGTCCTGATCCACCAAAATATATACAATAAACCCAAGGGCCCTAACAGAGGGCCACACCACCAAGCATGCCTCTGAGGTCAGGACTTAGCATGTCCTGATCCAACAAAATATATACAATAAACCCGAGGGCCCTAACAGAGGGCCACGCCACCAAGCATGCCTCTGAGGTCAGGACTTAGCATGTCCTGATCCACCAAAATATATACAATAAACCCGAGGGCCCTAACAGAGGGCCACATCAGAAGGTGAAAGTACGCCTTTGGAAATGAGTGCACCCAGAGTATTAAAGTAGCTCTCCAATCTCATCCTTGGAAGTGTGTAGGTTGGGAGGTATCTTATTTATGGTGAGGATGGGTGTTGGCTCACGCCTGTAATCCCAGCACTTTAGGAGGCCAAGGCCGGAATCACCTGAGGTCGGGAGTTCAAGACCAGCCTGACCAACATGGAGAAAACCCATCTCTACTAAAAATACAAAATTAGCTGAGCTTGGTGGCACATATCTGTAATCCCAGCTACTCAGGAGGCTGAGGCAGGAGAATCGCTTGAACCCAGGAGGTGTAGGTTGTGGTGAGCCGAGATTGCACCACTGCACTCCAGCATGGGCAACAGAAGCGAAACTCCATCTCAAAAAAAAAAAAAAAAAAAAAAAAAAAGTCAACTATATCCTGGCTGGGTACAGTGGCTCATGCCTGTAATCCCAGTGCTTTGGGAGGCTGAGGTGGGAGCATCACTTGAGGCCAGGAATTTGAGGCAGGAGTGAGCTATGATTGTGCCCCTACACTCCAGCCTGGGTGAGAAAGCAAGAAAGAAGACCCCATCTCTACCAAAAAAAAAAAAAAAAAGAAAAAAAAAAAGAAAGAAAAAGAAAACAATTATTTCCCCTCTGTCAATTTATGTGTGCAGAGGAGCTCTAGCCTCTCCTCCTATCTATAATCACCCCTACCCAATGGGAAGAGATGGAACTTTCTTAATTGATGAATTTGGAAGAACTACTTGAGTGTGCTTAGTTCTGCTCTTCCTGCTCTCCACTTTTGGCCTGATCTTGTCAACAAGAAACTTCTATTTTCTGACAGACAGCTCCTCGCAAGGGAACTTCGAGTTTCCTGTTTTTCCTGTCGTGGGATGAAGCATTAACAAGATCAGTATATCACAGGTATTACATCACATTCTTCAGATTTGCACTGTTTTGTAGTAATGAAGCTACTATTTTGTTCTCCATCTCTGGTGTCTCCATCTTTCTCTCAATGATTTTGGAATTTGGAAAAGGAGGATGGATGTATTTATTGGTATCACAACATCTCTTTCACCTTGTGGATGGAATGTTTAGATACCTGCTGTGGTTTAAATGTGTCCTCCAGAGTTCAGGTACTGGAAACTTAATCCCCAATGCAACAGTGTTGGGAGGTGGGGCCTAATGGTTGTTTAGGTCCTGAGGGATCCACCCTCATGCAGAGATTAATGCTGATTACGAAAGAACAATGTCTGTGGTATTCTTTTACGGAAACACAAACTGAACCAAGACAATACCATAAAGATAATTTCAATGATTTTCTGTTTTCTTTTGCTACATTAATAGACTCTTAATAACTTTTTGACTTCAGGCAAACCAGGATAAAATTAAAAGGAACAGTCACACAATCAGAAATTGTTCTTTTTAATATATGTTGATTTGAAGTTATGAAAGTTAGAAAATGGTCTTAGGAAAGAATTTGCAAACAGAGGGATGTGGGTCAGGAAACCCTACATGCATTTACAAGAAATGTCAGACTGAGAACAAACTGTCATTTACTTCCTATAGCCTCTATCTACTACATTTTCATTAATAAGAGTTTGAAGAAATTGACATATTTTTAAAAAGTAGCCACACTTGCCAAGCTTTCTGCAAGGAGAGTCATTTGCTTCCCTGGTTACATCTTTAATACCAGTTTGTTCTCCATGCACTGAAAACAATCCTGCTCCTGGTGGCCTCAGGCCCTGTCTTTTGACTCTGATTTTCCTCTCCCAAAACCTCTTGATTAGCTGACTTTGCAGATCCCTTATGTCAGGTCAAGTTTAGTCTACATCTTTCTTCCCAATACACTTGGTGCTTTCAACCATCTCCTGATTTTCAAGCTTTATCAGTCAGAGACAATTCTTTTTCTTCCTCTTTATATACCAAACAGGTACAGCCAATAATAACCTCCTCCTAACATTGATACCTCAAACACTTCTGGATATAAGCCTAGGCCCTCTACAAATTTGGAAGGGTTAGTGACTACTTTTGCTATATACCCAACACTTTAAAAATGTTATGATACTTATACCAATACAAAAGTACATAAGTGCAAGGTTATTCACTGCAGCATTCTTTGTAAATGCAATATATTAGAAACAACCCAAATGCCATAAATAGGAGAGCATTTGAATAAACTAAGGTGTAGCCACAAAATAGAGAACAATGCAGCAATAAAAAAAGAATAAGAAGATATCTTATTAAGTAAGATGGATGAATTTCTTGGATGTATTGTTAAATGAAAAAAAATCAAAACATATAAATATCTATGGTATGCTACTTTTATTTAAGACAGAGGAATATAAGAAACTATATATATACCTAATAACATGTGCAAAAATAAATATAAGAATAAACCAGAGACTAATGAGATAAGTTACCTAGGTGGGGAAGATGACATTAAGGTAAAAAGAATGAGTAAATGAAAATGGGATAGAAGGATTGGCAGGAGTCATACTTTGCTGAGTACAACTTTTGTTATAGCTCTGATCTGCAGAACATATCCAAAAATGAATGAATGAAATTAATTCATTGCTAGAGAAATCATATAACCATATGTGTGTGTATATATATGTGTGTGTGTGTATATATATATATATAGCCATGTGTATATGTGCATGTGTATATGTATGTGTTTGTATTATACACATATTTCCTAACAGTATTTATTGCAAACACCTAGAAGCAATAATATCTTAGTAGGTATCAGCTCACCTAGCATATGGATCTTGATTTCTAAATGCAATTTCCCAGTAAAGACACTAGGACTCCTTGGACAAACAGCTGATTCCAAAGTTGAGGAGAAAAAGTACAAGTTGAGCCTGGAATTTTTGTGGTTACAGAAAGTAAACAAATACTTGAAAAATGATGGGACCACATTCAAACAACTCAGAGTCTAATTTGACATAACTCTCAATGGTCAAATCTAGGAAGATTCAAGCAAAGAATATAAACTGATGGAAAGAGATTATAACCCATATAATAAAATAGATGTACATGAGTCCACACTGATGTAAGTAAATAATTAAATAAATAGATAGGGAAGAAGAGATAGTTCTTCCTTACAGTAAAATTACAATTAATATGCAGGAATAGTGAAAAATAAGTCACCATTAGGTAGTCAACACATAAGTGTTGCAGGCAGGAATCATGGATAGATAATAAAATTAGTGGACAGAAGTATGAGAAAAGGGACACTTGTATGGTCACAAAATATCTCACCATAAGACACTCATTACAAAGAAAAAATGGTCACCTTACAGTGATAAAATCTGGCAGGCCCATCTTCATCAAGTGATCAAAATTAATGTCACTAATAACAAGCCATAACATCATGTTCTCGCTGTTTTGTTGTACTGAGGAGGGCTCATCACACAATCATCACAATGCTACACACTGGGCTGCATTCTTGACAAAAATGTGTAATCTCAATCTAATTATAAGAATAAATCAGCCAAGTCCAAATGGAAGGAGAGTCTAAAAAAATAAATTGTTAGTACTATACAAGTCAAAAGTGTTAAGGTCATGAATGACAAAGAAAGACTGAGAAACTACAACAGACGGGAAATCACTTAACAGACTTGAAAACTAAATGCACTACCAAATGCTGAATTGGATCTTGGACCAGAAAAAAGGACATTAATGAGAAAATTGATGAAATTTGTATAATACACATACATTAGTTAACAATCTCTAAATTTGAATGATGTCAATGCTAGTTTCCTGGTTTTGATAATTGTAGTATGGCTAGGGAAGGTGTTAACATCAGGAGAAGCTGGATGAAGAAACTTTGTGTTACTTTTACAACTCTCTAGTAAGTCTAATATTATTTCAAAATAAAATTCTAAAAAATTCTATACTTCATCCTCTCATTAACACTATTGTGTAGATATTACTACCCCCACTTCATAAATGAAGAAACTGTAACCCAAAGAGAAATCACCAACATTAAGACTGCTAAACAAATGAGATGCTGGATCCGAGTTTATTTGACTACTACTATCAACAGGTATTTTCAATATACTACACTGCTTAATCTTTCCTTGGTTATTTAATTCTAAAATTAGATGGGCTCAATGTCATCTCTTACTTGTGGTACAGACAATAGTAATAAAATATTCCTGCTTTAGATAGACAACAGAGGCCAAGAATAATTGTGTGACATTACAACAAATTGAAGAGTGATTGAGGACATGAACACTTCCAAACAGACCTAGAATTAAAACCAGCTTACCAAATTCATCAGAGAAAATAGTAGTATCTCTGGAATCTTTATGCTCTATATTAGATGACAAATTCTTTTAGTGCAAGGGCAGTCACTTAATATAGAGTATAAAGATGCTGTTGTCTACCTTATCTTGAACAGCTAACATTTTTCAGGGATCTATTATATAGCAGACCTCATACTAAGAGCTTTATGTAATACAGTGTTGCATTTCTTCTTTGCAGTCTTCCATGAGTTAGGAACCAACATAATCTCCATTATCTCAGAAAGATATGCCATGGGCTAGGTATCTTGTCTGATGGGAAATTTAGATCCTGACTTTCCATCTGACTACAGAGCCCACGCTCTTCCCAACTGCACATAACACTCAGTGTAAATGGAGGATAAGTGCATTTAACTGTAATATGTTGTTCTCTTCTTCCTTTGGTATCTTTGAAAACTGAGTGTGCTTCTAGGACACATTTATGACTGCTGGTTTCCTGAAAAGGTCAGGCTGTGCCCCTGAAGGTGCATTTTTCCATCACACACCATGCAAGCATATCTCTTCCAGCTCTGTCATTTATTGTTATGGATTTCCTATATTTTCAATTATGTTCTTTTTTTTTTCAGCAGGTTAAATCAGATTTGAGGACAATGAAGGGTTAATGAAATGATCTTGGTGTAATTACTCATTATAAAACATCTCCGTCTTGGTTGAGGCCTTACTTGGAAAAAAAAAAAGTCTCCTGGTGCAGCAGCAACAAAGGAAGCTGATAAAGGAAGGGAGAGCTGCCTATTCTTTAGTGAGTTTTATTGCAAATGGAAAAAGCATGTTACTTGTCAAAGGCGTTATTAAGAAACTCACTGAAAGATAAAAAGTGGAGCCAAAAAAAAGAACAAACCCCCCCCAAAAAAATAACACGCTGCTTTGCTTTTTCTCATTGCTCAGGAATGTTTGTATTTGCTTGTTTAAAATGAGTTTGAAATGTAAGATGGAAAATGGCTGGTTGACACGAGCCTTTGTTTTCTACTCTGTGCCTATTGTATCTGCATGCACTGTATATGTAGAAATCTTGCCAACCCTTCCTCCTCCCCTCTCCAAAGTGTCTTGATAATGACATGATTGGAACGCTTAGAACTCAAAGTTGTATCTTAATTGAAAGAGAAAGAAAAGGAAAACATTAAAAAAGACAGCAATAATAAATATCTGGGGTTGTCTTTTACCTGAAGTCAAATGGATTTACTCTATTCTTAATCTTTATTACCTAGTCATTTTGTGGAAGGTGTTTTTGTTGATGCCTGGCTTTTTTTTTTTTTTTCCTACAGCAAAAAGCATTTATATAACTCAAGCTGTTAAAATCATGCATAGAAATGCCAAGGTTTTGAGGTTTTGCCTCCCTCCGGTGTGGAAGCATGGTACATCGCCATCCACGAACATGAAGTCATCAAATCCCCTTTTCCACTGATAAATTGGTGCTAAATGAAGCTGCATAAAAAAGCAAAGATCAAAGCAGAAAATCTCAAGAGATCCATGCACTTCATATTTTAGACAGCTTTCTGCATAAAATTACTTAGGAGTAGATGGCAGAAAAACACTGGGTTCCAGTCCTATCTCAGCCCTTGTGTGATTTGAACACTAGAAAAGCTTCTCACTAACACCTTTACCACAAGTCTCATTGCATTTTAGTTTTCAGTTGTACAGATGTCTTCCTAAAAAGCAAAGTTAATCATGACGTTTCCCCATACGAAAGAATATTGTAATTACCTGAATACAAAGAATAAAATTAAAATTGTTCAGATAGACACTTAAGGCCCTTCACAACTGTAGACTTTTCTAGAATCTTACCACTTGTTTGTCATCTTTGTCATCTTTGACAGGCGTTGAAAAGTGGAATAGGAAGGTCCATAGCCTCTGACAGGGCTTGGTAGATTACTAGGTGAGTCAATATGATTCTTTTCCTGGAGTTTGTGTTAGGAAATCTGGAAGGAAATCATCAAATTGTTAACAGAAAAGTAAGTGGACAGATAAAGAGGTAGATTTGAGTTCATAGTAAAGAGTTAGAATAAAAATTGTGAAGCTTTGCTGCAGAGATTTCTAGAGCTGCTTAGGATTCAAATGATTGACTTGTCCAAGCTCAGAGACTTTAGTTTTGCTACTGTTTCTGCTCCTTCTTAGCTTGGATGCTTTGCTTTGCCTGACTTCCCTTGAAATCTATGCATATGGCTGAAATCCTTGTTTACTTATTTACATGTCTATCTTTAAAATAAACTCTACATAGTTTAAGGTAGCCATAGTTAATCCTTGAACAACATGGGGGTCAGCGTTGCCGAACCCCCAATCTTGTGCTGTCAAAAATCTGCATATAACTTTTGACTTCCCAAACACAACTGCTAATAGTCTACTGTTGACTGGAAACCTTACTGATTACATAAACAGTCAATTGACACATATTTTATATATGTATTATATACTAAATTATTACAGTAAAGTAAGCTAGAGGAAAGAAAAATGTTATTAAGAAAATCATAACCTAGAGGAAATATATTTACTATTTATTAACTGGAATTGGATCATCATAAAGGTCTTCATCCTCATGATGAAGGTTGAGTCAGCTGAAGAGGAGGAGGAAGGGGAGGGGATGGTCTTGCTGTTTCAGAAGTGGCAGAGGTAGAAGAAAATCTGTGTAAGTGGACCCTTGTAGTTCAAATCTGTTTTGTTCAAAGGTCAACTGCATAGTGAGCTTATCATTCCCAAACATCACCAGCACGACCAACTTAAGCTCTGCCAACAGGAATGAAATGGTAGATTGGCCCTAAACTAACTTTACCTGGAAAATACTTACTCTTTTTTAAAGTTCTGGGTCTAATATTATGCCATTGGAAAACCACATTGCCTCAGAGAGAGCTTGGTTCTACTCCATTTCACCATATATTTTGCTTCTATCTCTGTTACAGCAGGTAGGGAGTTCCTTGGGCTGCCACAACAAACCACCACTTAGTAATTGGAGACAGAGGACATTTCTATTCTCACACTTTTTAGGCCTGAAGTCCAAAATCGGTGTTGGTAGGACCACGCTCCCTCTGAAGGCTCTAGGCAGGAATACTTTATTGTTCCTTTTTGCTTCCGGGGATTCCTGGCATTCCTTAGATTGGGAAGCATAGCCCCAGTCTCTGCCTCTGTCCTCACGTGGCCTTCCTCCCTGTGTCTTTGTGTGTCCCCTATTCTGTCTTTTTAAAGTATATTCATCATTGGATTTAGGGACTGCCAAAACCAAGATGATCTCACATGAAGATCCTGAACTTAAGTACATCTGCAAACATTCTTATTCCAAATAAAGTCACATCCTTTATTCCAAATAAAGTCACCAAGATACAGGTGATCGTATCTTTGGGGGACCACCATTCAACCTAATACAGAACAATTATTACATTATTTTATAATTCACTTGGCTTTTCTTTGAGACTACAGTCTCTCAACTGCAAGACTCACACCTTACTTTTTTATATCCTGGTATTTAGCAGTATCTGACACACAGTTGTCTTTTTTCATTTCTTCACATTCAGTTTGTTTGTCTTTAATGGTGAGATGAATCTCTTACAGGCATCATATAGTTGGGTTTTCTGTTTTTTTGTTTGTTTGTTTTTGTTGCTGTTTCTATCCATTCAGCTACACTATATATTTTTATTTGAGAATTTGATCCACTTACATCAAAGGTTATTGTTGATAGATAAGAACTTAAGGATTCACTCCTTCCTTTTTGTTAATTTTTTTCTGAATATTTTGTAGATCCTTTGTTTCTTTCTTCCTCTGTTTGTTGTTTACTCTGTGGTTTGGTGGTTTTCTGTGGTGTTGAGCCTTGTTTCTTTCTTTGTATTATTTTTATATCTGCTACAATTTCTGTCTTTGTGGTTACCATAAGGGTAACATAAAAAGTCTTGTGGTTGTAATAACCTATTTTAAGCTGAGAGCAATTTAACTTTGGTGCTACAAAAATACTCTAGACATTTTCTCTTCTCTCCACAATTTATATTTTTGTTGTCTTAATTTACTTTTTAAAAATCTATTATGTGTTCCTTAGCTGCTAATGATAGCTTACTGTTTTTGACTATTTTGGCTGTAAACTTCCATACTAAAGGATTGAGAGATTTACATTACACTGTTACATCACTGGGGTATTCTGAGTTCAATTTATGAACTGCCAAGTTTTCTATTTTATTGTATTGATTATCGTCCTTTTGTTTCCAGATGTAGCACTCCCTTAAGCAATTCTTGTAAGGCTGATTTAACGGTCATACATTTCCTCAGATTTTGTTTGTCTGGGGAAGTCTTTACTTCTCTATTTCTGAAGTATAGCTTTGTTGAAGGTAGTATTCTTAGTTGACAGTTTTTATTCTTTTGGAATTTGAATATATTATTTTATTCTCTCCTGGCCTGCAAGGTTTCTGCTGAGAAGTCTACAGGTAGTCTAATAGAGATTCCCTTATATGTAACTTGGTGCTATTCTCTTTCATTTTTTAGAATTCTCTCTGTTTTGAATTTGATAGTTTGAGCATAATATGCCTTCGAGCAGATCTTTTAGGGTTAAATATAATTGGGGACATTTGAGCTTTCTGAATCTGGATGATCATCTCTCCCCATATTTGGGAAGATTTCAACTATTATTTTATTATAGGTTTCCGGGCCTTTCTCTCTCACTTCTCCCAATATAACTCCTATAATGCAAATAGCTGTTTGTTTTATGGTGTCCCGTGAGTCCTGTAGGCATCCTTTAGTTTTTATTACTTTTATTTTTAATATTCTGAGTGGGTTATTTCAAAAATACCTATCTTCAAATTTAAACACTTTTTTCTTCTGCTTGATCTATTCTACTGTTGAAGCACTCAGTTGTGTTTTTCATTTTATTTACTGCATTATTTAGCCCCAAGGTTTCTGTTTCTTTTTTATAATTATGACTGTTGATTTTCATTCAGACCACGAATTGTTTTATTAATTTCACTAAATTATTTGCGTATATTTCCTTGTATCTCGATGAGTTTCCTTAAGATCATTATTTTAAATTTATTTTCAGGCATTTTGTTAGTGTTCTTTTCTTTGGGGTCTTTACTGGAGACTTATTGTATTCTTTGTAGAGTGTCATGTTTCCTTGATTATTCATATTTCTTGTGTCCTTACATTGATAGCTGCATATCTGTTGGAATAAAAACTTTTTACAATTTTATGCAGTACCTTTTAAAAATTTACTTATTTATTTAATTTAGAAATGGGATTTTGCTCTGCTGTATTGCAGTGGTGTGATCTTTATGGAGTAGCTTTTATGAGAAGGCGCTTTCCTGTAGATGGATTCTGGGGTTTTATTTGGTTATGGTGCATTCAATTTGGTTCTGAGTACACTCAGTAGCATGGTGCGGTCTCTTTAGCTGTAATCCCTGTCAGCATCTTTTGTGTCAGCAATGTCTGCAATTGCCTCAGTGGCCTAGGCTGTGAGAAATTTGTGATGACAGTGCTATGGTTATCTTCTGCTGAGGACCAGCTTGACATGTATGGGCACAGCTAGGCAGGCATCTGTCTCTCTGGAGAGATGAGGCTGCTGTTGGGTCACCTTTCATGCTGGGTGGCTCTGCAGTGGTCTGTCAGTGGGACATAGCCACTGCAAGACCAGCTGTTGGGGCAGATGTGAGTATGTATGGGAACGATGCAACCAGGCAGCTATACTGCAGTCTTCTTTGGGGGACAAATTGCAAGAAGACTGTGTTTTGTTGTACAGCTGCACTGTCCAATAAGGTAAGCACTAGCCAAATACAGCTAGACAAATTTTAATTAAATACAATTGAATAAAATTAACAATTCAGTTCTTCATCCACATTACTCAAATGTGGCTAGTGACAATAATATTGAACATCACAGATATATAACATTTTCGTCATCACCACAAAAATTTCTACTGGGTGGTGACTTAGTCTTCTTGGACTATCATAACAAAATACCATAGAATGGTGACATAAACAGCAGAAATTTATTTCTCACAGTTCCAGAGGCAAGATTCCTCTTATTGGCTTGAAGACTGCTGCCTTCTTGTGTCTTCCCATGGAGGAGAAACAGAGAGAAAATAAGCTCTCTGGTATGTCTTCTTATAAAGATACTAATCTCATCATGAGAGCTCCACTTTTATAACCTCATCTCAAGCTAATTACACGTCAAAAGACTAATCTCCAAGTACCTTCACATTGGAGGTTAGAGCTTTAATATATGAATGTTATGGGAACACAATTCAGTTCACAGCAGTCAGTGATATGTTAGGGTACGGAATCATTTTACTCCTACTTCTCAGCCTTTCCTCCATTCCTAACTTAACCAAGCAACCATTTCTATAGTCTTTGATAGATGGGAGAATAGAAATGTAGGAACCAGCGTATCTTGTTTCCTTATATAAATGGTGTTCTGTTGATCCTCTCCAATTGCTTTTTGGAAAGGAATACTGATGCCTATGGCCTGGCAGAACATGCACAGCCACTGCCTTGTATGCTGGGCATCTTTCCCTACACATATGGGCATTCCCCCGAATTCTTCAGAATGTGGCATCTGTGAAAAGCAACCGGTGGTATTTTAGAAATCTCTGAAAAAAAAAAAAACCCAGAAAGTGAAGGAGTTCATTGGAAGACCTAAAATTATAAATACTACAGAGATATGTATGGAAAATGAGAGGCAGATATGAAAGAAACAATGCACTAAGTTGCTTTTAGTGATAAACTTCTCATCTACTTCAGGGGGAACTGGAAAGTATGAGGCATAAAGTACTAGATTTGAATCTTGCCTCCTTCACGTATACTCTATATAATCCTGAGTCATTTTCTTTGTCTCTTTGAGCCTCAATGCTTTGCCTGCACAATAGACCTAAATTATATTTTGAGAATTAAATAAGAAAATATGTAAATTCAATTTAACCTTTTACCTAATACAGTGTAAGCTGGCACCAAATATTTGTTCTTTCTGCATCCTATTCCAGAAGGTTCCACAGGAAATAATTTTCTTAGCCATTCTTTTTAGAGGTTGCTTCCATTTACTTTTGTTTACTTTTATTCAAAAGTATAAACAGTGAATTGTATACTGTCATGGCCTGAAGTAGACTGAAATAATGCAGTAGGAGAAGATGGCTTGAATTTGGGCTCTGAAATCAGATAGATTCAGCTTTGAATCCCAGTTCCATAACTTACTTTATTTATAAGCTTTGGCAAGTTTGAATCTCTAAGTCTCAGTTTCTTCATTTATAATATATAGATAATAATTGTAGCAATTATCCTTTTGCTATTGCTAGAATAAAATAAAATAATGTGTGCATAGTGCTTATCTCCATGTCTGACCAATAAAGTGGAAGATAAAAAGGGAGAACGAAGAGAGAAGACAAGCATTTGGAAGTTATAGAAAACTTTAGAGTAAAATCATTTCCATGGTTTCAAACTTCCTTTGGTCCCACTTCATTCCTAAGAAGTGGAGGCAGTGTGCCACAGGAGAAGGAACACTGGTTCAGGGGGTTATATTCATTTTCTAGAGCTGCAATAACAAAGTATCATAGACTGAGTGGATTAAAACAATGGACATTTTTTAAATCTCCCACTTGTTTTGTCCTTTGTCTCTGTGTCCCTTGTGTCTTCTTATAAAGACACCAGTCATATTGGATTAATGGTCACCCTACTCCAGTATGACCTCATCTTAATTAATTAATCTAACTCATTTGCAATGAATTTATTTCTTTTCTTTTCTTTTCTTGTTTTTTTGAGACAGTCTTCCTCTTGTTGCCCACGCTGCAGTGCAATGGCGCGATCTCAGCTCACCGCAACCTCTGCCTCCCAGGTTCAAGTGATTCTCCTGCCTCAGCCTCCCGAGCAGCTGGGATTATAGGCGTGAGCCATTGTGCCCTGTCAACAAACCTATTTCTGTATAAGCTCACATTCTCAGGCACTGGGGATTAGGACATCAACATCTATTTTTGGGAAACACAATTTAACCCATAACAGGGGCCAAAATTCCTGGGTACAAATTGCATATCACCTTCATCACCCTTTAGCTGTGTTCATTGAGTCTAGTTATTTTAACTAAATCTCCCTTCCTTCTTCCCTAAATTAGGAATTGTAATACCCATTTAACTGTTTTTTTGTAAAGAGTAAATGAAATATTTGAGATCTGTTATATAGCAGGTATCCCAAAACTTTGGTGAACACATACACACATAATCATTAGCCCACAGAAATCCATATGTGTATGTTTGGCAATATATTCTGATTATATAAAATATAACTGAAAGTACTGGAATAAAAAAGGTTATTCTGGTTCAGAGAATTTTTTCATATTCTAGTTTTTTTTCCAAGTGAATTGTTTCAGAAACTATATCAGAACTCTGTTCTGATCATATTGTTTCATAATTCTCAGTAGAAGAAAAGAACAAAATAAAGCAAAATTAAAAATTCTACAAGCTCAATTTTGGAGTCGTAATACTCATACTGCTTGTTATCATTTTTAGTTGACAATTTAGCCCTATTCAAGTCCCCAGTAATTACTGCAGTCGTCTTGGTTTGTGTAAAGGATGAGTGGTTTTCCTGTTGTAGAGTGATTATTTATTTGCTCTATTACTTAGAGAGACTTGTGGGTGTAGCAGTAAATTGAAATCAAAATGATAATTTAAAATGTCCTCTTTGTTGTTGATTCATCTTCAGCTTCCAATGAACTGTGACAAGCACAGCAAACCCATTCATGCCTACTACACTTGTGTATGTCCTCACAAGACATGAATGCCTCTGCATTCAACTGGATGCTTACAAATTGGATCTCCATGTCACTCTTAAATGAGAAGGTAGGAACACAGTATAGCTTAACATAAGAGCAGACTTGTACTGGATGCCTAAGTGAAGTTAAAATAGTAAAAGCTCTGTCCTGTTTTCAACGAGTTGTGTGTGCATTGTACATACAGCATTTTATTTTTAACAAAAGATCGTTGATGAAAGTCATTGCATTGCAGAAAGTAAATAGCATAATTGAAGGAAAACAAACCTGCCTGAAGTACTAACATCTATTTTGTCCCTTTGAGACACAACGAGAATGTTCATGTGGCTGAGTGTTGGACCAATGAGAACTTGGAATCAATGCTAATTTTATAACAGGTCAAAATTTTAGGAATCAACTTTTTACAAAGATTCAAAATTAGCTTTTTTTATTCTCTTATTCTTATATAAGTAAAAATATTATTAAGAGTATTTCACACTGGACTCTCTCATTCATTTGCTTGCATTCTCTGTCTCTCTCTGTGTATTTATATCATGTTTAGTCATTCATCTTTGACTTTTCAGGTCCACTGGTACTTTAATTTTGGAATTTTATATTCATTACTTCCTTAGGTTTCTCCTGCTATAGATAACAATCTCTTTCCTTAGCTTTCTAAAACTTACTATTTCTAAATGGATCTTTTCTCATTTTTCCTACTCATCACTACACTTATAATTGCTTGTTTTCCATCTGTCTCCCTTCTTTCTTGCCTCGTGGGGCTTCTTAAAATCTCATCAGAAGCTCATCAATGAACCACACTATTAGGAATCAAAGTGCAGTGCTCATAGATAACTATTTACATCAAATAAAAGAAATATGGGAGATTATCAGGGCTTCTGGCTAATTCTGCTCTTTTCCAGGACAAATACCCATAAATCATACGCTAAGAAAGATTGTCTCATAGCTTCCCAGATACTAGGGACGGCTCTTAACAGAAAGGCAGGAAAGGGAGATTGAGAGGATAAGTTCCTCAGGTAAAGAAGTGCTTACTGCATTGAGAACCATAAACTAGGGGGAATAATATGAGCTAAGGCTATGGGAGAAGTGTATCTTGCAGGCCATTTCAGACCCATTAGTACGATCCTGGAATCATATTGAAGTATAACTGAAAGTTATTGAAATGGTTCAGATAGGACAATAGTATTATCCAATTCATTATATGTTTGAAGGATTTTTCTGAGCACTATGAGGATAATGGATGGAGAGGGATGGTAAGAATAGATGCTAGAAGGTGTATGGTCAAAGAAAGTTAAGGGTTGCTTCAGCAAGATGAGAGAAGAAAGTGTGAGTATTTTGTAGGCATTTGTAACACAGTCCAAAAACTTCTACAAATCAGAAAGCAAAAGTACGAGATTGGTGTTTCCAGGTATTTTTTTTTTTAAGGACTGCTATTTTGAAGAGAGAAATCCCTGGAAAAATAAGAAAGTTAAATTGGTTGTGATACAATTATGCCCTTTTAACATTAGTATTCCCCAAGGCTTAGTGTCCTCTAGTAATTTGGGTTGCAGGGATATATTAACTACCAGACTATTTTTTATTTTAATATATACTTTATTATAGTATTATATATTATATATATAATATGTTATATTTCATACTAGCCACCAGGTTTTTTTTTTTTTGGAAGGACTACTAGTTTGAAGAGAGAAATCCCCAGAAAAATAAGAAAGTTACATTGGTTGTGATACAGTTATGCTCTTCTAATATTAATATTCCCCAAGACTTAGTGTCCTATAGTAATTTGGGATATACTATCCATTAGACTTCATCTGCATACCCTGTTCCAGGACCTTGCCACTTTACCAACTGCTGAGTTTATGTAATTTAGATTTGGTCACATAGTCTTGCTGTCATAGTGTTTTGATCAAATTAAACTGTGATATAATATTAAATCATTATTGTAAGAAAGAGTTGTATTGAGTGTGCTTTACTGCTGGGTAGCTGCTTCCTGTGGATGGTTGAGCAGGTTGTGCACTGTACACCCATACCTAATGACCTTGCGTACACACTAATGACCTCTTTTTGTGGCAGTGAAGTCTCCACCCCAGCCTCCATCTCTTTCTGCTGCAACTCCTCATGCTCCACTGCAAGTGCTTCTCTGGCTTCCACTGCCTGTACCGTCCTTAGTTTAACTCACCCCATCTTGATTCTAACAATGCTTAATGAACTTTCCCTCTGTACTACTGCAATTTTGTTCTCCTGGAAGTATTGGTCTAAAGCATCCACTATAGGTTTTGAAATGCATCAAAGAGAAAAATGAGAATGCCCATCACAAAGCAGCCAGCATGTGAGATGTGGGATGCATGCACATAGCTGGATTAACATGCACTGCACCAGAAGGTAAATAGTTTTCTCTGTTCATTCAGACAAGTCATTTGGTTCTTTACAGGTGCTCACTCATTTCTTAACACTTATGTTTAGTATGCCTCCTGCTATAGTTTGCCTTTTTTCCTTACTAACTTTCCGTTGGACACAAACCATGGTTCTTCATGAAAACCAAAGACTACTATTTATAAAGGCCTTTCAGGTGAAATTGTTTCATTTCTTAGAACATTCCTATGAGGTACCAATTTATATCCCACTTGTGTCCTTCTTGGTTTTGTTTCCTTGTTTTTCCTATCATTTGTTAGATCTTGATTAACTTAATAAAACATTAGCAAGAAAGGTTTAGATATATCTTTTTTTTCTCAGCTTCCTGACCTAGGATATTTCTGACTTATTTTCAAAGCCCTTTCTAGGTTGTTTCTAAAAGGTTTCCAATTCAATATAATGCAATTAGCTGTTTCTTCCCTGGCGTTATTTTTTAAAAGAATGGCAGGTATAAATCTTGAAGTCTATCACCATCAATGCTGTCATTTCTATCCATTTGTCTAATTGCTATTGACCATGGAAAAGTAGTTTTTGATTGAGGCACAATGTAAAGTAATATTGATTATAGTAAATGAACTTTTCTGCAGTTGCTGAATCAATTAGGGAAAAAATATCTAGAGTTGCTTCTAATGTAACGAAGTCCAATTTTCATGTCACTGACTCGTAGCCCTTGTTCCTTGCTTGGTTTAGGCCTAGATATTTAAAATAAATCCCTTCTTTTGTTTAACATCAAAATCCCATTGCTCTAAGCAGAAGGATAGTAAAAATAAGTCTGTACTCCTGCTGTTCAAATAGAACAGAAGGAAATGAGAACAAAACTAGATTTTACTTTTAATCCTTCAAATAAGAAGCTTTTCTGCATGCATTTTATATCAAAGCAATATACATTGTATTCTAGGTTAACAATCAAGAAATCCATATCAAGAAGAGATCAGCAGTTTTCAGCTGCTATCACACAGGAAGGAGGCTCAGCTCTGATTTTTCTGAGATGACTGATAATGATAGCATTGTAGGTGGATGAAGCACCTTTCACCCTGAAATGCTTTATAGAAATCACTCATGACAGCTGTGACTACTGATGCTTAGGCCTCTAGGGACTTATATGCTGTAACAGAAATGCCACATGGAGGGAAAATGGAGAGAGAACAAAGAAAAGGCTACAGTACAGGTATAACCTTATGGCTAAAGACCCATTCAGGAGCAGGGAGGAACTCTTCAGATATACAGTACTCTCAAGATCTGAAGATGGGGGTCTGAAGGTTTACAACCTTGTAATCTGTTGTTTTAACTATTGACATTCATGCTAGCCTTTGATCTCAGGGCCTCAGTGTCTCTGAGGTGTAAAAGTTAGCAGGCTCAAATGTAATATTAGAATAGCCGTTATTCCATGTAATTTTTATTGAATTTTCATAGCAATCTCTGCTGTGTCATAAATGGGTTGGACTATTTCCATGCATTTGGGTGCTCAATGTCTAACAAATCGGTGTATCATTATTACTCAAAATTCATAGCTCACCTTTAATAAGGCATTGCAACTTACAATATTATATCATATGTTTTTTCATTTGCACCTCCACCTTTCACATGGGATAGGAAGGAACATTTTTGTAGTTGTTTTGTTTTTGTGTTATAGAAGGAGATATTAAGGCTTTCCGAATTTAATAGACTCGTACAAAACTATGAAGGCACGAACTGATTATCTAACACCAGATCCACTAATGTCTTCCTCTAGACAATATTACTACATGATGACTGAAGTTCCATTTTTTTTACATTTGTCACGAAAATATTCCCTAATAAAACCTTCCACTCCTATGCCAATGATTCTGGAACTCCTAATCCACTAAATAGTCCTTCTGTGTGAATACACATTTTCTTGGCAATCTATATATCTATGACTGTAGTCACTTCATTTGTTTTAGAGTTTAGAGGGTGTTTTTAGAGTTAAAATTCAGGTTGTATAATTTGAGTGATTCATAGTGGTGTTTATGACCAGCTTTTTCTTATGCCAACATTAGCTAGGTATGCTTTTAGAAAAAAATACTGAATATGTCTGTTTTATAGATTGCTCAATGAATTTCATTCCTCTGGTTCCCAGACTAAAAGGACTGAACATCTTCATTACAAAACTTGATTGCTACTAATTTATTATAAGACAATAATTAGTGTAATTATATTATACTCCTGAATAAATCAACTACTCATCTCCCACCCTACCTTCCTGCAAATATAATACTTGCCATGGTTCTAATATGAGAGTGATCAGGACTTTTGCCAAGGTAATAAATAATGTAATCTTGAGCATATGCGGAAAAGGAATTAAAATGAAAATTTTCCACTCACTCCTTATATATGGCTCTATAGCATTCTTAAGAATGTTAAATCATGATTATAAGAAAGGGTTTTATTTAGTGTGCTTTACTTCTGGGGGGCTGCCTCCTGAGAATGGTTGACCAGGTTCTGCACCGTGCTCCCATATGTAATGACCTTGCATCCACACTGATGGCAATAATTATTTCATTCAAACATTAAGTGCTTATTTTGTCCCTTTTTCTGAAAGATAGGAACATCATTAAACCAGATGGCCTAGGTGTCTGCTTTCATAGCAAAAATATTTCAGCATATGTGTATGTATTGTGCATGTGTGTCAGAGGGATGTAAATAAACAAACAAGAAAATCTATCAGTTATTTATGTGATATGAATAAAATAAAATGGAATGATGGGTAAGTGATTCAAGGGCTCTTTTAGACTAAGTGGTCAGGAACTGTATTCCTGAAAATGTGACATTTAAGCTAAGATCTGAACAATAAGAAGTACACAACCAAGCAATGTTGTGGAAAGGAGTATTTTAGGTAGAAGAAACAGAATGTCCCAAGGCTGTATGAAGAGAACATGTGTGGCTGGAGTTTAGTAAATAAAGGAAAAGTGATACTAGATAAAGTCATAGAAGTAAAGAGATAAAGAGCAGGTTGTGTAGTAACTAAATAACAAGAGTAAAGAGTTAAGATTTTATTTTAAACTCCATATAAAGGGATAGGAGTGTTTTGAGCAGTGGAATGACATGATCTGACAGATGTTTTTTAAAAGATGCTCTGGTTATAGAGTGTCAAATAGAGGATACCCAGCAGGGACACCAGTTAGTAGCTGCTTCTGTTTTCCAAGTGAGAAATAAAGATGGTGTGGTTGAGGATGCTCTTCATGGCTGTGGTCAGGATATATTTTGAAGGTACAGACAATACAATATGCTAATATCCTACAAATAGGATAGATATTTTATATGTAAGAAAGTAAGGCATTAAAACCAACCCCTGTATTTTTATCTTTTTATCTTTTTCTTTCTTTCTTTTTTTTTTTTTTTTTTTTTGAGACAAGTCTCACTCTGTCGCCCAGCCTGGAGTGCAATGGCATGATCACGGCTCACCACAACCTCCACTTCCTGGGTTCAAGCAATTCTCCTGCCTCAACCTCCCAAGTAGCTGGGATAACAGGCAAGTGCCACCACACCCGGCTAATTTTTGTATTTTTAGTAGAGGCAGGATTTCTGCATGTTGGCCAGTCTCAAACTCCTGATCTCAGATGATCCACCCGCCTCAGCCTCCCAAAGTGCTGGGATTACAGGCATGAACCACTGCGCCCAGCACCCTGTGTTTTCATCTTAAGCACCTAAAAACACTTTGTTGTCATTTACTGACATGGAAAGTCCGCTGTAGAAGCAGGTTTGTGGTGTTGAATGGGTAGAATAAAGAGTTATTTTCTAGATATACTAAGCTTAATATGCTGTTTTTAGATATATACTCAAGAAAGTTGCTGAGTAAGCTGTTTGATAAACATATTTGGGGCTCAAGGGGTGATTGAGGCTACAATTAAATTTTTTTCAATATTTGATTAATATATATTAAAAATTCAATGGAAACTTATTGAACATCTATTGAGGTCAGCCACTATACTAGTAATTAAAACACAGAGGCAGAAATATCTGTTCTTAGTCTGATTGTAGTAACAATAGAAAATCTGAACACAATATTTTGTGTTGTGATATAGATATGTAAAGGATGCTATGGGTATCATGAAGTTTAGAAGAGGTCATGAGTGAACTGAATCTTTAGAAAAAAGTAAGAGTTAGCCAGTTGAAGCAGGCAAGATAAAGATATTTTATGTGCAATAACATGGAGGTAAATGAGAGCTTAACTTTACCATATGATTTAAGCATAGGTGACTTGTGGTAAGGCCTTGGACATTACACTGTTTAAATTTTATTTTAAAGCTAATGGGAAGCAGGGAAGGATTACAATCAGATTTTGTTTTTAGAAAGAATTCTCTAAAAGCAGCTTGGAGAATAGATTAGAGGAGGACAGTACTGAAGACTGTTTAATCATTGCATTCATTTTCTGTTAACAGTTGAGAAATAACTACTAATGCACAAGGGACTTAAACAAAACCCACGTATTAGCTCACGGTTCTGCAAGTAAGAAACTGCAGTGGGTTTGGCTGGTGTATTAGTCTGTTTTCATGCTGCCAATAAAGATATACCCAAAACTGAGCAATTTACAAAAGAAAGAGGTTTAATTGGACTCACAGCTCCACATAGCTGGGGAGGCCTCACAATCATGGCGGAAGGCAAAGAGGAGCAAGTCACATCTCACATGGATGGCAGCAGGCAAAAAAAGAACTTGTGCAGGGAAACTCCACCTTATAAAACCATCAGATCTCATGAGACTATCATGAGAACAGCACAGGAAAGATCTGCCCCCATGATTCAATTACCTCCCACAACAAGTGGGAATTCAAGATAAGATTTGGGCGGGGAAACTGACAAAACCGTATCAGCTGGATTCATTGTTTAAGGTCCCACAAGGTTGACAGCAAGGTTTGACTGGGACATACTTTTATCTGGAAACTCTGAGACCTATCCTAAGCTGCACCTCACTGAGGAGCATCATCAGAAGCTTAACACTGTGGAAGGAAAAGCTATGTCACTAAAATAATGAGTCATGAAAAAATAAATAAGCAAACAACAATAATAAGCCCCAGGGGAGAGGCAATACCCAGAGTTATCAAAATAATATATTTTAGGCAGGGTGTGGTGGCTCACTCCTATAACCCTAGCACTTTGGGAGGCTGAGGCAGGCAGATCATAGGTGGATCATTTGAGGTCAGGAGTTTGAGAACAGCCTCACCAACATGGTGAAACCCCATCTCTATTAAAAATACAAAAATTAGCCGGCCATGGTGGTGGGCACCTGTAATCTCAGCTACTCGGGAGGCTGAGGTGGGAGAATTTCTTCAACCCAGGAGGTGAAGGTTGCAGTGAGCCAAGATCCACCACTGCATTGCAGCCTGGGTGACAGAGCGAGGCTCCCTCAAAAAAAAAAAAAAAAAAAAAAAAACCACACACACACACACCCAAGAAATATATATATATAGTCCAGTTTCCAAAAACAAAAAATTATGAGCTACACAGATATAAAAATATGACCCATATACTAGAACAAAAAAAAATATGCAACAGAAACTGCCTATGAGAGTGACCAGAAGTTGGATTTAAGAGAAAAAAGACAACAAAAGTAGCCATTATAAATATGTTTAAATAACTAAAGGAAGCCATTATTGAACAAATAAAAGAAGATATAATAGGTGGGAGTAAAGTTGTATTAGGCTGAGGAAATGACTCCAGATGGCAACTTTAAAATCCACAAGAAGTAATGAAGATAATTAGAAATCTTAAATAAGAATGTGAACATTCTTATTTAAGTTTTTCTTCTTACTTTCTTTCCTCCTCTCAGCTTCTTTGAGACATAAAATTATACACAGTAATAATTATAACAATATATTGTTGGATCTGTACCATTATTAGATATAATGTGTGTAACAGTAATACCACAGAAATAAGAAAAATAAATAGAAATATATAGGAATAATATTTATATGTCTTAATGGAAATAAGGTAGTGTAAACCTGAAGCTGGTTCTGATAAGTTAGGATGTATGTGGGAAGCTGTAGAATAGCCACAAAGAAGTTCCTTAAAAAAAAAAAAAAAGAGAGCAAATTACTAAAGAAATTTAGTGCCTTATTAGAAAATATTTGCTTAAGGAAAAGGAAAGCAATAGGGGGAAGAGGAACAAAATAGATATGAGAGACATGTAAAGCAATAATTAAAATGGCAGGTGTAAATCAAATTATGTAAAAAATAACAAGTGTGAATGGATTAAACAATCCAATTAAAAGGCAGAGTTCATCAGATTTGATTTAAAAAAACTATATACTATTTACAAGAGACACAGTTTAGATTCAAAGATAAAAGTAAAAGGTTAGAAAAAAATTTATCATGTAAAAAGTAATTACAGATAGCTATAGCGACTATAGTAGTATAAATCAAAATAGACTTTAAAACAAAATGTCACTAGAGATAAAAATGGGACTTTTATAAGGATAAAAGGATAAATTGATCAGGAAGGTATAACAATTGAAAATATGCATGTATTGAAGAACAAATAATCAAAATACATAAAGAAAATACCTTACCAAAGTGAAGGGAAAAAGGGGAAATTTACCATAATATTTAGAGATTTTAATACATTACTTTCATTAATGGATAGAACAGCTGGCCTAAATATCAACAAGGAAATTGAAGATTAAAACAGCAACATAAATTCATTACACTTAATGATGTCTTTAGAACACTCTACCCAATAAAAATCAGAAAAAGAAAAGAAGGAACAAAAGAAAGAAAAAGCTCAATAAATTTTAAATAATAGTAATAATACAAAGTATGTTCTCCATTCACAACGTAATGAAATTAGAAATCAATAACAGAAAAAGATTTGGGGAACTCACAAATATGTGGAAATTAAACAACAGACTCCTAAATAACCAATGGGTCAAAGAAAAAAGTCAAAAAGGAAATCAAAATACTCTGAATGAAAATAAAGACACAACACATCAAAATGTGTAGAGTGCAGCTAAATAGGTGCTTAAAGGTAAATTTACAGTTCTACATGCCTTTCCTAAGAAACAGGAAAGATTTCAAATTAATAACACAATCTTCAACTTCAAGACACTGGAAAAAGAGGAGCAAACAAACCCTACAGCAAGCAAAAAGAAGGAAATAATAAGAACTAATGTGGAAATGAAGTGAAGAATATTAAAAATAAAATAGATAAAATCAGTGAATTCCACTCTTGTTCTTTGAAGACATGAACAAAATGGACAAACCTTGAGAAGGGGGAGATGGGGAGATAACAAAACATGTAAAACTAATGGAATCATAAATTCATAAATGTAAGATGGGACATTATCACAAACTATACACAAACAAAAGGAATAATAAAGCAATATTTTGAACACCTGCATGCCAATAAATTAGATGACTTACATGAAATACACAAGTACCAGAAAATAAACGAACGATTCCAAATGACTTTTGAAGAAGTAGACAATATAGAATATAAATGATACAGAATGTAGGATAGACCAAGAACAAGTAATCAAAAGCTGCCAACAAAGAAAAGCTCTGGACTTAGATGACTTCATTCGTGAACATTTAAAGAATTAAAATCAATTCTTCACAAACTTTTCCAAGAATGTAAGAGGAGAAACACTTCTCAACTCATTCTATGAAGTCAGTATTACTCTGATACCAAAACCAGAGAAAAACAAACATCTAAAGAAAAAAAAGCTACAGACCACCATTGTTTATAAATATGAACACAAAAAATACTCAAGGAAATATAGTCAAACTAATTCCAGAAACATATAAAACAATTATACACCCTGACAAAGTGGGATTTATCCCTGGAATGCAAAGTAGATTTAACATTCAAAAATCAATTAATGTAATACACTATAACAACAGAATAAAGAACAGATATGATATGATCATCTTAATAGACATAATAATAAATTTAATAATATGTAATACAATTTTATGATCAAAACACTCAACATATTATAAATTAAAGGGAACTTCCTCAACCTGATAAAAGTCATCTAAGAAAAACTCATAGACAGCATCATACTTCATGGTGAAAGACTGAATGCTTTCTCCCCAAAATCAGATGACAAAATCTTGTATGCAGAAAAATCTTAAGGAATGCATCACAAATATATTAGAACTAATAAACAAGTTCATCAAGATTGGTGTACAAAATCAGTATGTGAAAATCAATTGTATATTTATACACATGCAATGAGCAATCTGGAAATGGAATTGAGAAAACAATACAATAAAATGCTTAGGGATAAATTTAATGAAAAAAGTGCAAACTTACTCTGAAAACTACAAAACATTTTTTAAAGAAATTAAAGAAGTTCTAAATAAATAAAGAAAATATTCCATGTTCATGATGAAAAGACTCCATATTGTCAAAATAGATTTCATATTGTCAAAATGGCAATACTTCTCATACTGACCTACTTATTCAATGAGATATCTGTCAAAACAAGAGATATATGATAAAAATGTTCTAAATTTTATTGAGATAATGGTGATATAATTCTGTGAGTACACTAAAAAAATTGAATTATCTACTTTACATGGGTAAGTTGTATGGCATGTTAATTATATCTGAATGAAGCTATTAAAAATAAAATGAAAACTTAACAAAGAAGGGGGGAAGAGTTAACACTGATTCCCATAAATGTTTAGTTCTAATATTTAAAATTATACAGAAATTTACATTTTAAAAATAATAAACTGTAAAAAATAGCAAAACAGCAACAATTTGATTATGCTATTCCTTCTCTTACAATGTTGCTTTGAACATGTCCACTATTTTGATATTCTATTTTGAATGACCTCCAGGTTATCACACTGAAGAGATGGTGTCCCAAAGTGAATTTATGGCCCAGGATGGAGTGTTTCTCTCTCTTCCCTTGTCCTAGACAGTCTTCTTCTACAGATACAGTCAAATAGCTCAGTAAATCCTGCTTTCCTCTCTAAATGCTCACAGAACACTCTTTCATTGGTGAGTTCTAAACTGTGGAGCGGAATGGGTATCAAACTCACTTTTAATAATTTCAACAATTTACCTTTTTCTACTCCTTGAAATTGCATTATCTCAATTTCATTCTCTCCCAATCATAAAGTTGCATTTTCAAAGTTTCCTGCTCATATTTTAGGGATCTCAGTACTTTGAGCTCAGCTCCTTACTTCTCTTAGACTTCAATTTCCCCTTAACGATGTTTCTTCTATATCTATCTATCTATCTATCTATCTATCTATCTATCTATCTATCTATCTATCTATCTTGAAGTTTATCCTATTTGAAAGCCAAAGAGGGGTTGACAAATTTGTCCAGATAGCTTTCATTCATTATCACTGTGTCTTCAATACCAAGCTAAAGGTCTGTTATCTTTTCCTTTAGAAAATGTCTTTCAAAACCTCTTTTTTTAAAGTTGAATTTAACTTTTATTTTATTTTATTTTATTTTTTGAGATAGGGTCTTGCTCTGTTGCCCAGGCTGGAATGCAGTGGCTTGATCATAGCTCACAGCAGCCTCAAACTCCTGAGCTCAAGCTATCCTCCTGAGCTCAAGCTATCCTCCTGTTTCAGCCTCTCGAGTAGCTGGGACTACAGGTGTGTGCCTCTAGGCCTGGCTAACTTTTTCAAAATTTTTAAATTTCTAATTTTGGTGGGTACACAGTAGGTGTATATATTTACTGGGTACATGAGATATTTTGATATAGGCATGTGATGTGAAATAATCAGATCATGGAGAACAGGGTATCCATCTCTCCAAGCATTTATCCTTTGTGTTACAAACAATTCAATTACTGGCTAATTATATTCTTTTTTGTAGAGACAAGGTCTTACTTTGTTGCACAGGCTGGTCTTGAACTCCTTTGCTCAAGCAATCCCCCTGCCTTGGTCTTCCAAAGTGCTGGGATTACAGGCATGAGGCACTGCACCCAGCATTAGCTTTTTAAAAAAAAAATTAATTCATGGGGTGCCCTTTCTATCATATACCATTTTATAATAATAAATTATTTCCAGCATATTATTTTGAAAACTGTATTTCTCCAAAAAGTTTCTGTGTGATTTCCTCCTTTTTTTGTGGTCTAAGATCTGAATTTTATCAGACTAGCTTGTTTCACAGCAAGTCATTGTTTTACTCATCTTTGGCTATGTAATGAGTAATGAAAATACTAGCTGATACTTATTTAAAGTTTACTATGTGTCAACTTCTTTCCATCAGTTTGATATGGATTATCATATTTAACCATTACAACAATCATATGCAGGAGGTGTCCTCTTTAGATGAGGAAACCAAAGCACAGAGGATGCATAACTCGCTTAATCTTACCTGGCAGGAGAGTGGTGGAGTTAGAATTGAATTCTGAAAGTCTGACCTCAGAGATTGTTATCTTGATCATTATTATAGGTGTTGTCTCCCTTCAGCCCCCTGACCTCTGTCCTTGGTTCCCGGGTGTCCCAGGAGTTTTGTGAATTTTTTTTGCCTGCTTGATTTTTTTATATGCGCACGGGATCAAGTACCTTCTTTTCTTAGTATCCATTGCACCAGATGACCTTTTGCGTCTGCTCCATCCTCATCACACAAACTTACTCTAGGATATGTTAAAACAAATATAGATGAGGTTTAGAGGTAGAAAGATTTGGTGTGTATATGTTTTATACCACTTGTTTTGTTATGTAGGTGTCAGTTAAGTTTTGAAAGGTAAGCTGAATACCATGGGAAAGAATATTTCCAGTAAAAGGAGCAGCCCATGCAAAGGTGTTGCTAGCGGTTTGGTAGGTAGGAGGACAGGGCACCTTGGAGGTGGGCCAAAGTGAGGCTAGAGAGGAGGAGGTAGAGGGGAGAAAGATCATGATAGGGCGGTAAGTTATGTGAAAGAGTTTATGATGTTGGCCGGGCGCGGTGGCTCACGGCTGTAATTCCAGCACTTCAGGAGGCCGAAGAAGGTGGATCACAAGGTCAAGAGATCAAGACCATCCTGGCCAACATGGTGACATCCCATCTCTACTAAAAATACAAAAATTAGCTGGGCTTGGTGGCACGTGCCTGTAGTCCCAGCTACTCGGGAGGCTGAGGCAGGAGAATTGCTTGAACCCGGGAAGCAGAGGTTGCAGTGAGCTGAGATTGTGCCACTGCACTCCAGCCTGGGGACAGAACAAGACTCCGTCTCAAAAAAAAAAAAAGAAAAAGAGTTTGTGATGTTATCTTTCAGTTTTTGTCAGGGGAATAACCAAATCATATTAAAATTTTAGAATACAAATTTAAAATCAAATAATAAAAACTATGCTACTTTAATTTTTGTGTAAAAAAGATATGCAGCAAATGTGGCTAAATGTTACTTTTTTTTATATTTGTTTGCTAGCAAAAATAATCATTTGTAATTAAATATATGAATGAATATTACATATATTTTAATAGTTTATAATGAAAATAGTAATAATAATAATAAGCACCACCATGGTGGAAGTGAGGGGGAAAATTGTGAGTGTAAAGCAAGGAAGAGGCTAGAATAGAGAGAGATCTTGGTAATAAGAGGGAAAGGAAGGAAGGAAGGAGAGAAAGAGAGGAAGAAAGAGAGAGAAGGTAGGATGAAGGAAGGAAAAAGGAAGAAATGAAAGAAGAAAGGAAGGAAGGAAGGAAGGAAAGAAGGAAGGAAAGAAGGAAAGAAAGAAGGGTGTTTAAAGAGAAAAATAAAATGAGATGTCAAATATTCAGATGAGTATGTATGGGTTAAAGGTCAAAGTTGGCATCTTTCTTGTTTAGAATCTAAATTTTAGGTAGTAGCTAAAGATGTGGGAGTGTATGATATGGCCAAGGAAGACAGTGTAGAATGAGAGGAGGAAAGGGAGCACAAAGTGTCTAACTGTGGACAATATCACATTTAAGTGGCAAGAAGAAGCAGACAATCAGCTTAGAGTATTTGAGAAGGGTTTTTGTTTGTTTGTTTTTTGTTGTTTTTTGTTTTTGCCATGACTGTATTGTTGACCTAATTGTGGGGGTAAAGACCTTTCACCTGTACCTTAAACCATCCAGCCTCTTGGTGGTGAGCCAAAATGTGTTCTCTCAAGTATACCTGAGTTATGTGCTGTTTCCTTTCAACCTGGAGGCCGACCCAGATTGTGTCTGAAAGTGACCCTGCAGTTGTTTATTGTCTGTTCTATATTACTCATCCCTGATCTTTAAGATATAATAAGTTTCATTGAAATAAGGTACGACTCCGGGATTCCTTTTTATTCATCATTCCAATATATTTGCCCATTTTCCTGCCCCCATTATAGTTATATTAAATAAAATCTGAAGATATTTTTAGTTGATTACTGGGAAGAATTCATCTACTTGCTTCTATTTGCTTAGGGTTAGAACTTCTTGATTGCAATATGAAGATTGATAAAGTGACAAGCAACTTTGTCTACTACACTATATTGTTGTTGACTGCAGCAATATAAAAACTGAAATTAAAAACCATGCTCTTCACTTTCATTTGAGTCCTCCCAGTTATTCCAGACATAAATCAGGTAAGTGAACTTGGAGCGTCCTTGAGATTCTTTACTGGTGACCTTAGTACTGAGCATAAAGCTCAGTACTGCAGGAGCACTGCAGCCACATTGGTCTCTTTGTGGTTTAACTCACTTTGTATTTATTGTCAGCACTGCACAACTGCCAGGTTGTTTCATTCATTAATTGTTCTATAAAGTTATTGTCACTATTGCTTTCTATAAACTTATTAATTTTTGAATGTATACAGACCATCTTTCAACAGCTAGTACAAGGTCTTCTTTAGGGGTGAAAGCATGTTTTATACTCCTCTTGAATGCTGCAGTTTTTGGCATATTGCCGAATACAGGCAAAGTACTCAATAAAACCTTTTGATTTATCAATGAATGTACTGATTACTTACTATCATTCTTATAAAACCATGGTAGGTAAAATAGAAATACTAATGATGCCTTTGCCTTTTATATGATTGTTGTGAGGATCAAATCAGGTATGAGAGGGGAAATTACTCCACTAATATTATGAAGACCTATTAGGTCATTAACAGAAATTCAGCTGAAATTGTTCTTTATTTTATAGGATGTGCTTTTTTGCCTCCTGCTTTGGAATTTCATCAAAACAAAGAAAACAAACAAATCCTGAATATACACTGAATGGTTTGACTCTAGTTGGAGATTTTTAAAGTTTTGCTCCAGACCTTGACTGACTCCAATTCTAAAGACAACTGAGCAGGCTAGTTAGGAAATTCTTATGCAACTTATAAAATAGAGACCCCAAAGGGCTTTTTGGCATAATAGAATAGAATAGAATAGAAAAATACTTTTGATGTGTCGTTAGGGTTTAATCCCTTCGTCTTTGTCACCATTAAGGAAGAGAAATACTCCTCTAAGATCAAAGAGAAGATTTTGACCTGTATTTCCCAAACACTGTGCAGAGGTACTCCATACCATGTCATGGCACCTTCCTTTATTTGTGAAGTTTAGTTTGTAGCAGGTTTGATAAAAAGCAAATATGGGATGAAAATTGGGGTGGAACAGGAAGTGAAGATGGCTGTATGCAATTTGACTCTAAGGTTTGAGAAGTCGTGCAGTGCCTAACAGTGCTCACATGCCAACCCCAAATAGACTAGTGCCCCCTTATCCACAGGAAATACATTTCAAGACCCCCGATGGATGCCTGAAACCGCGGACAGTATGAAACCATAAACATACTGTGTTTTTTCCTACACATACATATCTCTAATAAAGTTTGATTTGTAAGTTAGGCACAGTAAGAGATTAGAAACAGTAACTAATGATAAGTTAGAACAATTATAACAACATACTGTAATGCAAATTATATGAATGTTTTCTCCTCTTTCTCTCAAAATACTGTAATGTTTTCAGATCACAGCTGAGGGCGTTAACTGAAACTGCAGAAAGTGTAACTGTGGATAAGAGGTGACTACAGTTTTAGGGATAAGAATGAAATAAGAATATATTTTTATTTTATGTGTATTATATCTTCAGAGTGCTAATAAGTTGTTAAGACATAAATACTTGCTAAGGTGTTTGGATTTACTTTAATAAACTGAACTGTTAGGTCTTTATTTTTGCCCAAGTATGCTATAAAAAATTATTAAGACATTGTGAGCACTGAAGATCAAGAAAGTTTGGGAGCTACTTGCTTAGTGCAATGAAATATGTTTGATTTTCCATAAGCCAAATAGTCTATATCTGCTTAATTTTTATGTCAATTCCTTTACTCTCCTATGACAGTTTTAAGAGTTTTTTTTGTATAATCTATCTAAATAAAATATATTTTTTCTCATAGGGCACCCAGGAGAGGTTCTGATAAATGAGTGTCACCTTCTGGATTAAGAAAGTCACTTCACCACTGTTGGCCTTGATCTCTCCACATCTGTGAAATAATAGTGTGGATTATTTGATATTCCCAGTCTCTTTCCAATCTAGAATTCCATAATACTATAAACTTAGAAGATTCTTAAAATATAATGAGAAGGCCATCAGATGGTGGAATCGAGAGAGTTCTCCACCCACTGTTAATTGAAGAGAGAATTCATGTTCTGTCTGGAAGCAATGGCCTACAATTTTGACGTCTGATATGCTGCACTGATGTGGGCATTGTTCAAAGTAAAGGGTACCAGAGAAAGACCCTGGATAAATAGGTGTCAACGCTCATGGTACATGAGACAGGGATGTCTGAGCATTGTGGAGCAGGCAATTCTTCAGACTTTATAATTTTGCTTGGGTCTTGGAGTTGGAGGAAGGGTGGTGTAGAAGAGAACGTGCTACCATATTTTTGATAGCAATATACTTAGAACTCAGTCCTGTTCTTTCAAATATCCTAAAACTCATGTCATATGTGTAAAGAAAAAGTTCACAACCATTTTCTTTTGATCCTCTTCAGGGAGGTTGATAACGTAGCTAAATTGTGAATGCAGGCAGAATCATCTCGTTGGATATTTATGGTGATATAAGGGTCCCTGACATAACTTTTCTAATATTGCAAAAGATGCTTTTATGTATAAATAACTCTTAATCACAGTTTAAGAATACTTTTATCATCCTGTTGATGCTCATTCAAGCAATATCAAATGCTTTTGCAGTAGATTTAAAAACAAAATAAAAACTCAGCCTATTTGCAGTTTACATTTTCCTTACACCCATCACCCACTTTTGCTCTTCTATGCTGAGTAGTGCTCTCATGCCGTCTGTGTATTGTCTTAATATCTGTCACTTCCTCAACACTTTTATCCTTTTTGTCTTCATCTTCTTGATTCCTCTGATTTTTTTTTTAATTCACCATGCAGTTTCTCTCTGATGTTTTTCTCACAGTACTTTTATAATCTGTAATGCATTCATTATTCTTTGCAGAACCTTGTTGCCATGTTCATTTGTTTTCCAATAATCTTTATTAGATCTTTTACTTTGTATTTTTTCAAGTCTTTTAAATCCCTTCTTATGCAAATTCTATTTTTTATTTAACTCGCTTAGCTTGCCTTGTCTCTGATCTTCCTTCGACAATTTTATTACAGTTTCTCTCATCATCTTTACACTTTTTTATGTCTTTGAAATATGATCTTCCCACTTTCCTTTTACTGTTTCTATGATACCCTCCTATGTCCCATCTCCCATTCTTAGCCTTAAAATTATTTAAAATAATTCATTATCTTACCTCATGTTTTTGCCTCTCCCCCTTCCTTTGTTTGGAATTGGTCCTTTACAAAAGAATTGGTTACCCAGAATGGCTTTCTTAGTTGTTTAAAGGAGGACCAAACCGATATTGCCAAATACCTAAAGCTTTACAAAAATCAAGGTCTGAGAGATGACAAATTGAGGGTCAGGGCTGAAGGGCAGCTATATGACTTGAAAGAAGAGGTTTAACTCAGGCAAAATTATATCATTTTGTAGGTTATATGTGCCATATACATTCCATAGTTTTCTAAATAAGCCCTCCAAAATACAGGTGATTTCTAGGTTCTTGGCATTTTTAAAATTTTTATCTTGCTCTGTCACTCTGGCTAAAGTGCAGTGGAGCAATGATACCTCACTGCAGCCTCGAACTCCTGGGCTCAACCTTCTGAGTAGCTGGATTACAGCCCAGCTAATGTTTTCTACTTTGTACAGAGGAGGTCACTATGTTGCCCAGACTGGTAACTCTTGACCTCAAGCCATCCTACCACCTCAGCCTTCCACCCTCCTACCTGAACCTCCCAAATATCTGAGATTACAAACACATGCCACAGAACCCAGCAGGTTCCTGGCATCTTTTATTTTCTCTCTCACCATTAGAAACTAAAGTCCAAATTTCTAAGTTAACATAAGGCCTATAATTAGAGTGAAGACAGTCTTTTCCAACCTCTGAGCTAACTTGGGATGGGGAAAAAACATAGTAGACACTTGTCATGTCTCTTTTTTCCTTTTCAAAAATATTTGCTTTTAAAGCTTGCCTCCTTCTTCAGAATGGGGTAAAATAAAAATAAAGCTGGGCCGGGTGTGGTGGCTCACGCCTGTAATCCCAGCACTTTGGGAGGCCGAGGCAGGAGGATCATCTGAGGTCAGAAGTTTGAGACCAGCCTGGTCAACATAGTGAAACCCCGTCTACAAAATTAGCCAGGCATGGTGGCATGTGCCTGTAATCCCAGCTACTCGGGAGGCTGAAGCAGGAGAATCGCTTGAACCTGGGAGGGGGATGTTGAAGTGAGCTGAGATTGCACCACTGCACTTCAGCCTGGGTGACACAGCAAGACTCCATCTCAAAAATAAATAAATAAATAAAACCAATTAATCCCTTCTTGCAACAGGATGGCCCCAGAAGAAGGCATAACTGTTTGATAGTAATTGATTAGTGAGTATTCTCCTAGTAAGGCATTGCCAGTGTCCTTGCTATTTTTAGGTGCTAAATATCAATTTAGTATACTGCTCTCTAGGATGAGAGGGTCAGCAGAATGCTGGGCTCAGGAGCTGATTCAGCTGCTATTGGATATGAGCATTGGGTAGAAAGGACAGCAAATCTTGGCTGCTGATAGTAAGGTAGCTACTGCTGAGTCTTCCCTCAAAACAAATGGCATGTTAGGCAGAGCATCCTGTTATGAGTCTGATAACCTGAATCTCTGCCTGAGTTACTGACCTGGGGCTGTAGTGTGACACCTGTCATTTCTCTCTCTCCTTCTATGTTTGCTCATGCAGAAGATGAATTGGTTGCACTCAGTGATGTCTAAAAATTCCTTTCAGCTCCTTCTCCTTTGTCATAATGTTTCAAGTTCCATCATTAAACATTGATTTCTTCTAGTTTCTAAGGCTTTTAGGTTTTCAAGGATTGCCATTAAAATGCGAACCTGAGGGGAGAAATAACATATTAGAGTGTTTTTAGACCATATATTTGAGGAGCTTTTGAATGATCTCTTAAGGGGCAGGCCATTTGGGAATAAGGCATGGGTGATCTGCCAGGACAAAGGGGGCTAGGAGGATCAGGGAGGGACACAAATGGGGTGACAGAGGAGACAACAGACATAAAGAATAACTAAATGCTAGTTTCTTTTACATATATTTTATCAATTCCTGCAGAAAACCTGGGATTTAGTTATTACCATACCCATATTTCATATGAAAAACTGAACTTCAAAGACCGAACATGACACATGTACAGTTATTTGGAGAAGCAGAGATAGCATGGGAACCCAGGTTGTAGGATGCCAGGGTCTATGCCCATATTCTTCCCACTGCAGCCAGCTACTTTTTGCTTATTGCTGTTTACAATGTTACCTAGAGTGAGTTCTGCAGAAATAAAGTACTTCACCTAGATTATCACATTCAGTCCTCACCAGTGGATACCATTATTTTTTTCCAGCTTTCCAGAGGAAGACCCTGAAGTTTAAAAGTTTAATAGTCTGAATAACAACACATAGCTCATATCTCAGGGACAGATATAATAGGTATATACATATACATGGAAAAAATGTTTTGGAACTTTTGACAAAGGCCTTAGCTCACACTGTCTTGAATCACTACTGCTGAAAAAAAAAAAAAAAAAAACACCTTTTCTTTCCCTCTATCTCTTTGGCTTTTCTATCATATTCTCATTTCTAATTATCTAAAGTTTTAAGAAATCAATCCCCTTCCCCATCTTTATTTTTTATCAGAAAACTATTTCCTGTGGGCCTCTTTCAATTCAAACTGCCTCAGTCTTGGATCTGAAAGTCAGGTTATACAATCTGGTTTATTGTTTTTAATCAATTCAAAATTTTAAGAGGCATTTTTTCAGGTGTCAGATGTCATAATTAATTTCCACAAATACTTGTTGTTGAATAACTAAGCCATTTCTGTAGTCAAATTTTATAAAGTTTGTCTTCTTTCAATATTACTAGATGACATTGCACAAATTATGTCATTTCTCTAAGACCAATTTTCTGTAACTATAAAAGAAAGGAGTTGTACCAGATCATCTGTAAGAGGGCTTGCAGCTCTCAAATGGTGTGCTTCTTACCATGCCAAAGCCTTTACTAATTTATTTGAAAAACATTGAGAGCATAGAGTGTGCCAAGTACTATATAAGACATTGTAAATATGATCATTAGGTAGCCCTGTGTCAAGGAGGTGAGAATCTGCTGCAGAGCTCACTGTAGTAGAATTACAACATTGATTTATGTTTGCGTGCTGCTTACATACATTTAACACACCTTTTCTATGTAGTTTGCCTTGTGTCTCACACTATCCACCCCATAACAACATGCATTTCTATTCTTCTTGCTTACCACCATCAATGGGTCCATTCTCAATCTGCCCAGATTTCAGGCTTCCCCAGCTTTCTCTTCCATACATAAAAATCATAGATAGAGGTAGAGTTAATAACAAATTGAGTAGATGCCTGATTTCCTTATAGGGCTTAAAGGGATTTTCCGCTTGTAGATCTCTCTCTCTCTCTCTCTCTCTCTCTCTCTCTCTCTCTATCTATCATCTATCTATATATCAGGCTGAAGTGCAATGGTACAATCATAGCTCACTGCAGCCTTGATTTCCTGGGCTCAAGTGATCCTCCCACCTCAATCATACCTAGGACTACAGGTACACACCACCACACCTGGCTAATTTTTAAAATTTTTTGTAGAGATGGGGGTCTCTCTATGTTACCCAAACTAATCTCAAACTCCTAGGCTTAAGCAATCCTCCAGTGGCCTCTCAAAGTGCTGGGATTACAGGCATGAGCCACGGCACCCAACTGAATTTTATTTATTATTTTTATAGTGTTTAAAGAAGAATAGAGGTTTTAGGCAGGGAGGAGACAAGCTAGGGAAAAGTAATAGGCAATGGACATAGTGATGAAAGGGATGTTTTGGTGTGAAGGATATACCCACTAAAGGTCTTCAGCCTACCCCAGTTTTTTCATGGCCTATCACACTTTTGAGCTGTTTTAGTCTGAGTCATAACAGTTGTCAGCTAGTTTAGAAATCTATTAATGTCTTGGTGTTTGTACAGTTTGTTATTCCTTCATGGACCATTTCTCCACTTAGCTTCCTGGACGCATACTCTCCTGACTCTTCTCTCTCCTTCTTTGTTCCTTAGCAGCCTCCTTTGCTAGGTTCTCCTTCTATTCTTTGAGAGTCTCATGGCTTAGAATTTGCCGATAATCCTAAATTCACTTCCAACCAACACCCTTCCTAAACTTCATATTCATATACCAAACTACCAACTTAACATCACTAGCTGGGTGCTTAAAAGGCATCTCAAATTAATATATCAAAAACTCAGCCTCTGATGTCCCTGCATACTCATCCTTCACTAGTCTTTCCTGTATTGGTTATGATCTCTTCATTCTAATTACTTGGGCCCAAAAATCTGGATTTCATCCTTGCTTCTTTATTTTTCCACTTTACTTAGCACACCAAATCTATCAGTAAATCTTGTTGTCTCCACCTTCAAATTATATCCTGGAAATAATATACTCCTACCTCCATCTCTACCACCCTAATCCAAACCATCCACATTTGTACCATAGACCAAAGCAATAGTCTTCTAAGTACTTTGTCTGTCAGAAGCTATTTTTCTCATTACAGCCACAGCAATCTTTTTAAAATCTATTTTTTTTTTTTTTTTTTTTTTGAGACAGAGTCTCATTCTATCACCCAGGCTGGAGTGCAGTGGTGCAATCTTGGCTCACTGCAACTTCCACCTTCCAGGTTCATGCGATTCTCCTGCTTCAGCCTTCTGAGTAGCTGAGATTACAGGCACACACCACCACACCTGGCTAATTTTTGCATTTTTAGTAGAGATGGGATTTCTTCATGTTGGCCAGGCTGTTCTAGAACTCCTGTCCTCAAGTGATCTTTTTGCCTCAGCCTCTCAAAGTGCTGGGATTACAGGCATGAGCCACTGCTCTTGGCCTAAAAATTTAACATTTAATAGACTGTGAAACCTCTTACTTGAAATCCAACATTTTCCCAATATATGAACTCCCTACCATAGCCTTCAAGGCAGTGCATAATCTTGCCCCTATACACCTTTTCTATCTCATCTCATGATTCTTCCTGGCTTGCTTCACCGACATTACAGGTCCTTTTACTGTTCTTCCTGGTATACATCATCCCATTGTGATTCTGTATGACAACTTGGCCAGGCTATAGTTTTCACACATTTACTCAAACAACATTTCAGGTGTTGTTGTGAAGGTATTTTGTAGATGTGATTAACATCTACAATCAGTTGGGTTTAAGTAAGGGGTATTAGCCTTGATAATCTGTGTGGGCCTCATTCAATCAGATGAAACACTTTAAGGGCAGAGCTGAGGTTTCTGTAAGAAGAGGAAATTCTACTTGTAAACTGCAGTCAGCTCCCACCAAAGAGTTTCCTGATGGTCTTTCTTACAGATTCCAGACTCACCTACCCAGCCCTAATGCAAGCCAATTCCTTGGAATAAATCAATCTCTCTCTCTCTCTCTATATATATATATACACACACATATATATATACACACACATGTATATATACACTATATATACACACACACGTATATATACACTATATATATACACACACACGTATATATACACTATATATATACACACATATGTATATATACACTATATATACACACATATGTATATATACACTATATATACACACATATGTATATATACACTATATATACACACATATGTATATATACACTATATATACACACACATATATACACATATATACACACATATATACACATATATACACACATGTATACACATATATATACACACACAAATATATATACACATATATATAAACTAATAATCAGAGTGCTATGAGAAACAGAGCAAAATTATACATAGGTTTTATGTGTAATTATATATACATAAAACCTATGTAAAATATTATTCTATTTACATATTGCACTCTCTCTCTATATATATATACATATGTACAATGGTGCAAGCCAATTCCTTGCAAGAAATCAATCTCTCTCTCTCTCTCTCTGTGTCTCTCTCTCTCTATATATATAAACTAGTAATCAGAGTGCTATGAGAAACAGAGCAATATTATACATAGGTTTTATGTATAATTATATATATACATAACCTATGTAAAATATTCTATTTACATATTGTGCTCTCTCTCTCTCTCTCTATATATATATATGTACAATGGTGTAAGCCAATTCCTTACAAGAAATCAATCTCTATCTATTCACATTTCATACACACACACATATATGTGTGTGTGTGTCCCTGCATACTCACCCTTCACTAGTCTTTCCCATAGTGGTTATGATCTCTTCATATATATATGTATATATATATATATATATATATATATACACACACACACACATATATATATACACATGTGTGTGTGTATTAAATGTGAATGATAGAGCAATTGATTTCTTTCAAGGAATTGGCTTGCACCATTGTATATATATATATATATAGAGAGAGAGAGAGAGAGAGAGAGAGCACGTGCAATATGTAAATAGAACACTATTATACATAGGTTTTATATATATTATTATACATAAAACCTATTTATAATATTGCTCTGTTTCTCATAGCACTCTGATGCACCCATACACCTCATTCTTCTCTCACAGCTTTTCCTTTTGCTGTTCCCTATTCCTGGAATGCTTTCTTCCAAATATTTGCATAGCTCATGCTCTTACATGATTCAAGTCTTTGAGCAGTTGGCCCCTCCTCAGAAGGGCCTTCTTTAATCTCCTTGTTAAAAGTGACCCAAGTGACTCCATATCAGTCATATTTTCTTGCCCTCACTGCTTTATTTCATAACATTTACCCCTATCTGAAACTATGCACTTGGTCATTGTCTCTCCTTTTCCCCATGTCTAAGCTCCATGATGGGGTGCGTTTCATCTGTCTTGTTCACTGCTGTATCCCCAACCTCTAGATCAGTGCCAAGTACAGGAATGCATAGCATATCTTTTGTTGAATAGTGAGGAAATGAGACACTGTATTGATTTATTGGAGTTCAGAGGGTGGTCCTCAGAGGGAGAAAATAGCTGAAAAAGCAGAATGAAAACTATAAAAAGCTTTTTTACATCGGCTAAGTTCTCAATCTTAGCATTCCTTCTTTCTAAAAATAATTTTAAAAAACATCCAGACTTATTATCTGCACTTCTCTTTCTCATGTCATTCTATACCTGCCAATTTTCTTTTATTTATCAAAAATTTACTTAGAGCCTAGTATGTGCTAGGAATGATTAGACAAGCCAAAAACAACCAATCAGAAGGGAGAATTTCTCAAAGGAAGGCCTTGTAAGCTAAGATGTGATAAAGCCTACTAAGCAAAGAGTAGAGGGAAATGAACAGGGTAGAGAAAAGTGTGTGCGTAGTGGCCTGGAAACGAGAAAGAACATACTGTCTGAGGAAGTAAAAGAAGATCAGGTTGGCCGGGTGCAGTGGCTCATGGCTGTAACCCCCCAGCACTTTGGGAGGCCAAGGCGGGCGGATCACGAGGTCAGGAGTTCGAGACCAGCCTGGCCAACATGGTGAAACCCCATGTCTACTAAATATATAAAAATTAGCCGGGCGTGGTGGCACACGCCTGTAATCCCAGCTACTCAGGAGGCTGAGGTAGGAGAATTGCTTGAACTCAGGAGGTGGAGGTTGCAGTGAGCTGAGATCACGCCACTGCACTCCTGCCTGGGCGACAGAGAAAGACTCTGTCTCGGGGCTGGAGAAAAAAAAAATGAAGAAGATCAGGTTGACTACAGTTTTTGAGAGAATGTATGTGGGTGCATTAAGAGGATAGATGAATCTGGAGAGGTGTTAGAGCATGAAGCTCCTTTCAGCTTAGTTATGAGTTTTTAATTTTGTCTGTTAAAGACGAGAGGATAACAGCAGCACTAAGTAAGAGACTAATATGTCAGCTTTGTGATTCAGTAAGACACTTTCAATACAAGGGCAGAAAGACCAGTGTCACATGGAGTTTTTGCATGTATTGTTGCTTCTCCTTAAACCTCTGAAACTTACTGGTTTAGCTGAAAACTTTGTTCCATGCTTTCTAACCTCAGGTAAATGAAAACAAACAACAGCACAACATATCTACCAACAACCAACAGAAATAAAGATAGAAGACTGATTTCATCCAGCTAGATTCAACATCTCCAAAATTTATCCTGGACGGAGATAGAGTAGCATATTTATGTATGAAATGTGAATAGGGTTTGGAATTAGAATACTTCAGACCTAGCTCTGTCTTGTGTTGGCAGAATTCCTTAACTTTCTGAAGTCTCCTACAGCTCATGTATTAAATGAAGCTACCGAGAATACTTTATTCACAGGAAAATTGTGTGAATTAATGTATGGTGAGTTACCTGTGAAATACAAAACTCCAGTTAAATGAGTTACAGTCGTCTTTGCCTCATGAGTTCACAAGGTATTTGACATCAAATAACCAGCTTATCATTAGAAGTTATTGCTGTGGGATGGGTGGAGTGGATTTAATGTGATCACACATGGAATCTTGTAGCACTCTGAAGATGGAGGGTCCATGCAGGAAGAGTGCTACCTGCCAAAAGAGGATAAAATACCACTCATCACCTCAGGAGGCATTGATTATGTTGATCCTACAGACAGAATGTTACTGTCATAGGGAACACAAAAAAGACACTGCTTATTCACGTTATGGGGGAGAGGGATACAACACTCCATGGCCATTTCCAGTATTTTGGGGGTTATATTAAAGAAACTAACTCCTTTCATTCAAATCAACTGAAAAAAGGCTTGGAACTTAAGAAATTCATCTTGAGCCAATGCATAAAAACTCACTGGGAGAGACCTTGATTCAAGAAACTGACTCACTGGTACAGAGGTCAGCAAATTATCCCAAGGACTAAAAACCAAACACCACATGTTCTCACTCATATGTGGGAATTGATCAATGAGAATACTTGGACACATGAAGGGGAACATCATACACTGGGGCCTGTCATGGGGTGGCCGGATGGGGAGGCAAAGCATTAGGAGATATACCTAATGTAAATGACGAGTTAATGGGTGCAGCACACCAACATGGCGCATGTATACATATGTAACAAACCTGCACGTTGTGCACATGTACCCTAGAACTTAAAGTATAATAAAAAAAAAAAAAAGAAAGGCCGACAGACGAGAATTCAGACTATGCTTCCCTTTGTAACCCTAATTGAGTGGCTAAGAGGTTTCCTGGTAACAAGGATCTGTAGAGTGACTTAAAACAAACAAAATTTTTAAAAGATCAGGATTATATTTACTTTTTATTATTCTTTCTAGATACCATTTTTGAATGTGAGATTATTAACCAAAAAAGATCAACTTTATGCAATCATACAGTAAAGAATCCCTCCAGAAAGAGGAGCTAGAGACACATTGCGGCTTAAGAAAATATGTATTTTTAAGAAGGTGGCAGTATACATATGGAAAAATGAACCAAGCTGCACATTTAAGATTTGTATACTTGACATCACTTGAGAATAATGTGAAAACAAGATCACTCTCTCTAGGAATTAAATATGTAGCTAGTTTGGCTTGTTAGAACATACCTATTACAGTCAAGATTCTGGCGCTCAGGTAAGTTAAACCAAGTAAAATAGTTCTCGCCTCCGGCCGGGGCACGGTGGCTCACGCCTGGAATCTCAGCACTTTGGGAGGCCGAGACGGGCGGATCACGAGGTCAGCAGATCGAGACCATCCTGGCTAACGCCGTGAAACCCCGTCTCTACTAAAAATACAAAAAATTAGCCGGCGTGGTGGCGGGCGCCTGTAGTCCCAGCTACGCCAGAGGCTGAGGCAGGAGAAAGGCGCGAACCCGGGAGGCGGAGCTTGCAGTGAGCCGAGATCGCGCCACTGCGCTCCAGCCTGGGCTACAGAGCGAGACTCCGCCTCAAAAAAAAAAAAAAAAAAAAAAAAAAAGGCCGGGCGCGGTGGCTCATGCTTGTAATCCCAGCACTTTGGGAGGCCAAGGCGGGTGGATCACGAGGTCAGGAGATGGAGAGCATGGTGAAACCCCGTCTCTACTAAAAATACAAAAAATTAGCCGGGCGTGGTGGAGGGCGCCTGTAGTCCCAGCTACTCGGAGAGGCTGAGGTAGGAGAATGGCGTGAACCCGGGAGGCGGAGCTTGCAGTGACCCGAGATTGCGCCACTGCACTCCAGCCTGGGCGACAGAGCGAGACTCCGTCTCAAAAAACAACAACAACAACAAAAAAAATAGTTCTCGCCTCCAACACCCATGTCAGCGTTACAGGGTTCCTGCTGTAGAAGCCTATTTCTGTTTGCATGTGCAACATATTATTCCATAAACATGAGAAAAAGCCCTGATATAGCCACAAGAGTAATTTCTTTCCATCTGGCCCTGCCGAGGCTTTCAGCATTTATAAAGAGCTGAAAGCAGTCTGTTTTAGCATCTCATAAAGCCCCCTCCTTTAACCAAGGGCCAGCTTTCTACTTCTTTGATGATCATGGCTCTTATTAGAGAATGCACACTTGTGTTTGTGGCTAAGTTGCTACTATACACACCTTCAAATGCCAGAAAGCACAGGCAGTCTCTTGGATCCTTGCGTCTTGGTGCAAAGTCCTTCACACTCTGTTGGTAGGTGGCCCTCCCTCCTAGAAATTCTTTCTCTCTCTTCAGCTCTGCTGAGGCTTGCTCAAGGCCAGGGCATTGAGTGGTGTGTGCTAATGACATATTGGATGTAGTGTGAAGACAAGAGGGACGAATGGCAAAGATTAACTAAGTTCCAAAATACTAACTTTAATTGCTTTTGCCTGTTGAAATAGAGTTATGTAGAAGGACAGCTAGGACAGAAATATACAAAGCATTATGTGTTACTGAGACCATCCCAGAGGCTGCTAATAGTGTAATCCTTCATGATTTGAATTATCTTTGATTCTTCTATAAACTCTTCAAATTATAACTTTACGTTGCTTAAGTGTTTCTTGGAGTTTTATCATGATAACGGCTAGCATTTATACTCTACCTGTAACACCGATAGGTCTGTGGGTAGTTCCAGAATGGTACATAAATTCTAATACATAAACTAATTATAGAAAACCCCTCTGTTTCAATCAGATCTAGAGAAGGAATAAAAATGTACAGTAAATGTGCCAAATTTAATACGCTTGGCAAGAGAAGGCATAAATATGATATAATATCAATACTCATAATAGAGTGCTTGAAAAAAATGTAATGCCCCTTCCTATGGATGTTAATGGACTTTTCAGGAATTACCTGGTGGCAGATGCAGAAGTCACTGCAGAGGAAACACATGAGGTTTAGCTGAGTTCAGATGTAAGGTTCTGAGCTTCTTTCTGCCAAGCAGGCACTAAGTGATCTTGAAGCAGTGAATTTTGACTGACACGGGGGCTTTTCTTAGCCTTGCTGTTGGCTAGACAACTGAATTTAAAAATGTCACCAGCCCCCTAATTCTCGGTGTCCTTAACTCTGAAATGGATTCAATAATCGCTGTTGTTAAAGGTGGTATGAAAATTACACAGGTGGTCAATAATCAGTAGTTTTATCTTTTCTCTGCTTCCTAACGTTTATGCCAAGCCCATTGTATCCTGAAAACACTTCTCTTACTGTACCCTTCACACGTTCTTCTAATTGATTGTTTATGTATTTGTCTTTGTATTATATTTTGAGCTCCTTGAGGTTGAGGGCTTTTTTCTGTGCATGTTTGCATCCTTGTAGGCCAGTGCAGTGACTGTCACATAGTAAGTAATATAAAAATGGTGAACCAAGGAAATTATTTAATGCCTAAATTTTATTAAATGAGTTACTCATTCAGTTAATTAGTCATATTTTTCAGAGGCAAAGGAATTAAAATAATAGGATACTTAAGCCACTGTGATTTAGTAAAAGAATTGATGGGAATATAAGGTTGATTAGAAAGCTGTCCCCATGGAAGCTGAACTAGCCGGGCCCGAGGGAGAACTGGAGCACTCTGAAGAGCACCACACAGCTCTGATGACCAGTCATTCTGTCATTCTCTCAGGAGACCCTGCTCCTCCTGATTCTGGACATAAAAGGAACTTGGAGAGTCCTGATATAGTTTGGACATTCATACTTGCCCAAATCTCATGTCGAAATGTAATCCCCAGTGTTGGAGGTGGGGCCTGGTGGGAGCTGTTTGGGTCACAGGGGTGGATCCCTCATGCCTGGGCAATGTCCTTGTGGTAGTGAGTGAGTTCTCTCCAGATCTGGTTGTTAAAAGTGTATGGCACCCCCACTCCCTCACTCTCTCTTGTTTCTGCTATGTGATGTGCTTGCCCTGCTTCACCTACAGCCATGAGTAAAAGCTCCCTTGGGCTTCATTAGAAGCCAAGCAGATGCCAACACCATGCTTCCCATAAAGCCTGCAGAAATGTGAGCCTGCTAAACCTCTTTATAAATTACCCCATCTCAAATAGTTCTTTGTAGCAATGCAAGAGTGGCTTAATACAGTCTCATTCAGAATGGGAGATCATCTGATGCTGGGACCCAGTTATTATCAGGATCCACTCATTCCTGGGCTGAGCCTGTCCTCACCTGTGCTAATGGTTTCAAAAGCACAATGTATCACATATGACATATAGAGCTATGGGTTTCCATTTACCTCATCTCAGGGTAGCCTCTAACAAATTCCATGATATATGGGTGTTATTTCACCACTTTTCTGCATGGAAAACAGGCCCAGGGATATTCAGTCCATTTACTAAGCTCACATAGACAGTAAGTTAGAGGGCTATAATTTAAATCCAAGTGTGGCAGACGCCAAAGCCCATGTCCATGCTTTCCTCAATATTTTGTTGCTGCCTCAGGATAAAGCCTAATAGACACAGTTTATGAAAGGCAATATTTTTATAGAACAAAATACCTCTAAAATGGGTATAAAACCTCATTTACCAAGTAAATAAATGCCACTTTGTTTTTACATCACATACCACACTCTGCTGGGGCTAAGGAACTTTATGGCGATTGCTACAACTCAAGGGGCGGTCTAGGGACAAGGGCATGAGTCATATCCTTTCTTAGATTCCAAATTTGTCCAGAATTTCAGTCATTGTGCTTTCACAATGGGAACATGACTCAAGATGTGAAAGGCAAAATGGCAGGTTAGATGGGAGGCAGATCATGTAGAACCCTCTGAGTATGGCTATAGTGTGTCCATCTAGATACAGAAAAGGGAGGACCATGGGTAGCTTGGTCATTGATGATAAACAGCCTAATGGTCTCACCAGCCTCTTCACCCACCCACATGTATAAGGAGTTATGTTCTCTCAAGTCACTGATTCTCAAGCAGGGAGACCTCATTGTGGCTGCCTTGAATCTGTAAGGAGCATGGAACTTTTTAACATAGTTTATTTCCTGAATATTGAGGGTACACCCAAGCTCATGTTTGGTTCTGAAATCCAGGGCCTCATTAGAATGCACAGTATACTTCAGAATAGCTGAAGACTAAAGTGAGACCTCGGAGAAGGGCTGAAAATTCCCCTTGAGAATCGTGGTTTGAGATATTTCTGGGACTGTTCTTTCTCTCTTTCCTGGTGGAGCATGAATTGGGGTGAAGGTTTTCACTTCTCAGATTAAAGCTATCCCTTTTAGAGAATCCCAAGAAAAGGATAAACGGTCTAGACTCTCACATCCTGATAGACTAACCTATCCTAAAGAATGTTTCCATCATTCTCAGTAAACTATCGCAAGAACAAAAAACCAAACACCGCATATTCTCACTCATAGGTGGGAATTGAACAATGAGATCACATGGACACAGGAAGGGGAATATCACACTCTGGGGACTGTGGTGGGGTGGGGGGAGGGGGGAGGGATAGCATTGGGAGATATACCTAATGCTAGATGACGAGTTAGTGGGTGCAGCGCACCAGCATGGCACATGTATACATATGTAACTAACCTGCCCAATGTGCACATGTACCCTAAAACTTAAAGTATAAAAAAAAAAAAAGTTAAAATAAATGAAGTTTAAAAAAAAAAAGCACTGCTTTGTTTATACACATACATGTACTCACACGTAACAGACAGATTAAAACCTGAATAAAATCAATCCATCCCCAGTAAAAAAAAAAAAAAAAAAAAAAAAAAAAAAAGAATGTTTCTGCTTCTTCCCGCCTGAGACCAAAAGGTAGGGTCATTTGTTTCTGCTTCTTCCCGCCTGAGACCAAAAGGTAGGGTCATTTCATTTTAATTTTGAAGGAAGGGCTTGTTTGGTGTTCAAACTTGGCAATGGAACTAACAATCATTTCATATCAAATGTGTCTACCTACTGTTGTTCAAAGCAGTCCTGAAGTGAAAAGAATTACCTCATTCCTTTCCTTTTTTTCTTAGATGCTAAGCCTTTAAGTTTTCATCCTTTTTTTTTTTTTTTCTTAAGACAAGGTCTGGCTCTGTTACCCAGGCTGGAGTGCAGTGGGTCACTGCAGCCTCCTTCCAGGCTCAAGTGATCCTCCTACCTCAGCCTCTCAACTATATATGCATATATTCTGTGTTTATAGCAACTTTGCAAATATTATGCAGATTTCAAAGTCGTGGAAACTGAAGTTCAGACAGTTTTTTGGTTTGCCCAGGTCCATGAAGTAGGTAGTTGAGAGTTGTTGTTGTTGTTGCTCCCTCATACCAAATATGTGATATCTTTTCCAACTTCAACAACCAGTTTTCCAATTATCTGACACCAACTAGGTATGTAACAATTCAATTCAATTCTGACACTATTTGGAGTAAGCCCAAACCCCACAACTTAAGCGCCAAATCCCAGAAGACTTTCCTACCTCAGGCATTAGCTGCAAATGAGGTGCGCAGGACACCTACATTTCTCCCCAGCTGACTACAAATTGAGTTCCCATGACCCCTCTCAGGTTTGTTAATTCCCGGAACAAATCACAGAACATAGCAAAGTACTTTACTTACTGTTACTGGTTTATTATGGAGGCACACAGATCTTCCGTGCCCTAACTGGATGTGCTACAGTTTTAACACCACAATGTGTTCACAAATGCAGCTCTCTGGATGCCATTACACCTTTTTTTTTTTCTTTTGAGACAAGGGATCACTCACTCTGCTGCCCGGGCTGGAGTGTAGGTGCGTGATTATAGCCTCAACGGCCTGGGCTCAAGCGATCCTCCCATCTTAGCCTCCCTAGTATCTGGGACTACAGACATGTGCCACCACTCCTAGCTAATTTTTGTAGTTTTTGTAGAGATAGGGTTTTAGATCCAAGGTGGATCTAAAACTTCCAACCTACTCATAAATGCTTGGTCTCTCTGGCAACCGTCCCCAACCTCGAAGCTATCTAGGGATCCCCATTTCCTGCCTCTGGTAAACCACTACTTTACTCTCTACTTCTATGAGAACATTTTATGTTGTTTTAGATTTTACATATAAGTGAGGTCACATGGTGTTTGTCTTTCTGTGCCTAGCTTATTTTGCTTAATGTTACATTTTACAGGTTCATCCATGTTGCCACAAATGACAGAATTTCATTCTTTATTTTTAGCTGAGTAGTATTCAATTGTGAGATATATATATATATAACATATATATATATAACATTTTCTTTATCCATCCATTGTTTGATGAATACTTAAGTTGATTACATCTCTTGGTTATTAATAGTGATGCAGTAAACACAGGAGTGCAGATATCTTTTTGACAAACAGATTTTTCCCCCACTTTGGATATATACCCAGTATGGAATTGCTGGATCATATGGTAGTTCCATTTTCAATTTTTTGAGGAAATTTAATACTGTTTTCTACAATGACTGTACTACTTTACATTCCCACCAACAGTGCGTAAGAGTTCCCCTTTCTCCACATTCCTGCCAACATTCATTTTTGTCTTTTTGATTACAGTCATTCTAATTGGGGTAAGGTTATATCTTATTGTGTTTTGATTTGCTCTTCCCTGATGATTAGTGGTGTTGAGCATATTTTTGTGTATCTTTTGGTCATTTGTATGTCTTATTTGAAGAAACACTTATTCATGTCCACCATACACATTTTAATGGGATTATTTGGTTTATCCCCTGTTGAGTTGTTTGAGTTCTTTTATATTCTAGATATTAACCCCTTGTCAGTTGCATTGCTTGTAAATATTTTTCTCATTCTGTTTCTTTACTCTATTGTTTTGTTTTCTTTGCTGTGCAGAAATTTTTTAGCTTGATGTGATTACATTTCCCTATTTTTGCTTTTGTTGCCTGTGCTTTTGAGGTCCTATTCAAAAAATCTTTGCCCAGACCAATGTCATTAAGCATTTTCCCTATTTTTTTAGTAGTTTTATAGTTTAAGGTCTTACATTTAAGTCTTTAATCTATTTTAAGTTGATTATTATATATAGTGAAATATAGGACTCTAGTTTTATTGTTCTGCATATGGATTTCTGTTTTCCCCAGAGCCATTTATTCAAGAGACTGTCCTTTCTTCAATGCATATTCCTGGCAACTTTGTTGAAAATCAGTTGACTGTAGATGTGTAGATTTATTTCTGTGCTTTCTAGCCTGTTCCATTAGTCTGTGTCTGTTTTTCTGCCAATGCCATGCTGTTTTTGTTATTATGGATTTGTTGTATGTTTTCATATCAGGTAGTGTGATGCCTCCATCTTTTGTCTTTTGGCTTCAGATTGCTTTGGCTATTTAGGATCTTTTATGATCATACACATTATAAGACTGTTTTCTGTTTCTGTGAAGAATGTAATTTGTATTTTGATCGGAACTGTGTTGAATCTGTAGATCACTTTGTGTAGTATGAACATTTTAATGATATTTATTCTTTCAATCCATGAACATAGGATATCTTTCCATATATTTGTGTCTTTATTTCATCAGTGTTTTATAATCTTCAAGTAAAGATCATTCATCTCCATGGTTATATTTATTCCTATATATTTATTTTGTAGCTATTGTAAATAGGATTTCATTCTTGTTTTTTTTTAAGGTAGTTCACTATTAGTGTATTTAAAAACTACTGATTTTTGTTTATTGATTTTGTATCCTATAACTTTATTGAATTTTTTAATTCTAGCAGCTTTTTGGTACACTCTTTGGGACACATATATATGAATATATATTATATTATATATATATAATTATATATTCACATATATACTACATATTAAGATATAAATATATAATTATATATGTGTAGCATATATATTAGGATGTAATCTGCAGAAAGGGACAGTTTGATTTCCTCATTTCCAATTTGGATGCCCTTTATCTCTTTCTTTTGCCTAATTGCTTATTGCTCTGGCTAGAACTTCCAATACTATATTGAATGGGGTGGTGAAAGTGAATGTCCATGTCTTGGTCCAGATCTTAAAGAAAAATTTTTCTTCATTTAATGTGCCATATATGGCCCTTATTATTTTGAGGTATATTTTTTCTATACTTAATTTTTTTGAGAGTTTTTATCATGAAGAGATGGTATATTTTGTCAAATGCTTTTATTTCTGTTGAAATGACTATATGGTTATTGTTTTTGATTCTGTTAATGTGATGCATCATGTTTATTGATTTGTGTATGTTGAATCATACACAAATTATATGAGATGAATTATAATTGATCATGATGAATAATTTTTAAATTTGTTGCTAAATTCAGTTTGCTAGTATTTTGTTGAGAATTTTTGCATCTATGACCATCAGAGACATTGGCCTGGAGTTTTCTTTTTGTTTTGTGTTCTTGTTGGGTTTTGGAATCAGGTTAATTCTATACTCAAGGAATAGTTTGGAAGTATTCCTTCTTCTTAAATTTTTTCAGAGTTTGAGAGCAATTGGTGTTAGTTCATTTACTGTTTGGAGAATTCAACAGTGAAGCCATCAGGTGCTGGGCTTTTTTGATTGGGAGAGTTTTTTATTACTTCAATCTCATTACTTATTATTAGTCTGTTCAGGGTGTCCATTCTTCATGGATCAATTTAGGTAGTTTGTATGTATCCAAGAATTTATCCATTTTCTCTAGATTTTCCAGTTTGTTAGCATGTAGTTGCTCCTAATAGTCTCATAACAGTCTCTGATGATCCTTTGAATTTCTGTAGTATGGGTTGTATTGTCTCTTTTTTCATCTCACATTTTATTTATTTGAATGTTCTCTTTTTTTTCTTAGTCAAGCTAAAGATGTGTCAATTTTGTTTATCTTTTCAATAAGCCAACTCTTTGTTTTGTTGTTTTTGTATTTTTCTAAATATCTATTTTGTTTATTTTTGTTCTGATTTTTGTTATTTTTTTCCTGTTAATTTTAAGTTTAGTTCATTCCTGTTTATTAATTCCTTGAGGTATAACATTAGGTTGTTTATTTGAGATCTTTCTGTTTTTTTGATGTAGGCAGGTATTGCTATAAAATTCCCTCTTATGACTGCTTTTTCTGTATCCCATAGGATTTGGTATGTTGTGTTTCCATTTTCATTTGTTTCAAGGTATTGTTAAACTTTTAAAAAGTCTTCATTAACCCATTTGTTGCTCAGGAGCATGTTGTTTAATTTTCACGTGTTTGTACTATTTCTAATTTTCCTTCTGTTATTGATTTCTAGTTTTATTTATCATGGTCTGAAAAGATATTTGATGTGATTTCAATGTTTTAAAATTTGTTAAGATTTGTTTTATAACCTAATTTATGGTCTATCCTGGAGAATGTCCCATATGCTGATGAAAAGAATGCATATTCTACAGCTGTTGAGTCTTAACAAGAAATTTATCTCAAGCGTTTGTCATTTCACTAATTTTTTAAAGAGCCAACTGAATTCTCTCTACTACTATCTAAAGAACAGGAGCATTTTTCAGTATTTGATGAATATCCTCTCACTTCCCCAAGGTTAAAAAAGAAAAATGTCAGAACTTTTCATTCTATCCACATAAAGAAATGTCTTTCATTTGATATAATTACACCCTTTACTGCCTGGCTTTGACCTTTGCCTCTCTGTCATTCACATCTTGGGCCCTGAAAAATAAAATATGCAAGAAAACAAAACTGGCATAGATGCCACTTAATATGGCATAACTTAGTGTGTTGAAAAACAATTCTACATAGTTCTAAGCCTGTTTTATTTCTCTTTTAGGGAGAGAGCAGAGTAATTACATTTAGAAATCTATCAAGAGATAAAGAAAAGGGAAATGATAGACTAAGAAAATTCCTAGAGGGGTAATAAAGTAATTGTCATATATTTCTCAAAAGTTTCTTGAGATTTTCCCAAAACTGCCATCTCTAACCAAACTCACAAGACAATATAAAAAGAGGTAGAAATTCCTAAGAGACCCTTTATTCATTGATTTATTCTTCACCTGTATCAGGTCCCTACACTGGGCTGGCCCTGTCCTGGGCATTGGCAATAGGCTGTTGAACAAGAAAAAATTCTAAAGTCTTGAAACTTCATACTAGTTGGGGAGGATTTGAGGAACAATAACAATAAAAACAAATAGAAGAATTCGTTATCCCAGGTATTAATCACCTTGCCAAGCAATTGATTTTGTATATACTTAACATACATATGTATGCATGTATCTGCAATGTAGCACATTACACTATCTTGTTTCATCTTCACACAAAACTGTTTAATCAGCATTCTTAATACTCATATTTTGAAGATAAGAAATGTACTACTGATTTAAGTTGACTGACATAATCACTCAATAAATTAAAGAAATAGCTTGAGATACTTTAAGCTCACTTTTCTTATTCCAAATCTTTTCCTCTATAGTGTGATAAAAATTCCGAGAAAAGGAGGATGCAACAAAAATTTAAAGTCATTTAAAAAATTAAAAGGAAGAAAAAGACAAAAAAGATAGATAATGGCAAACAGAGACAAAAACAATTTCATTTTTTTTCCACAAAACTACATTGTTTTACCTATCTTTTTTTCTAATTATATCACACATTTTCTTATCCAGAAAGGAATTGTGAAAATTATCTCTAACAGCTCATTTAAGCAAAACAAAAAGGAGAACTCACATAAGAAAGTCAACTGTTGGAATGAGTGCAGAACACATTTATGAGAGGGGGGAACAGAAGAGCACATATCTAAACATCTTGCTTCCTTAGCATCCTTGGCAAACCATTTGTCTTTACTGAAAGCACTTAGACGTGTTTCCTAGGTACGGATTTAATAATCTAAGGAGGTAAAACAGAAATATCCTGTGCAAACTAAGCAGAAAACGTATTTCCCTTGAAGAAAGGTCCCTTCTGGATCAGGTCAGTGAGAGAGCTTCCCATCTCCAAAGCTTCCTTTGAAGTCATTATAGCCTGTTCGAGCCTCAGCTGCAATCATTTTCAGAAGACCCAGGCTGGAGACAAACTTCTAGATGAAGAATCGTGTTTGCTGAATCATCTCTCTTCTTTGGTCACTAGTTGGCTAGCCAGTCTGAGTATGGTAGCAGTGTAAATTCTAAATAATATCTCCCAGTGTCTGAACCTCACAGAAGTCATAAAAAAGAGAGAAATCTAAGGGAGTTTAAAAATCACTCTGCGAGTGATGTTGACAAGGACATGGGGAGCTGAGAGAATATATCAAGTACCAGTGATGTGCAAGATGGTTTGAGCAATGTATGAGTTTGGCCAACCAAAACATAAAAAAACTTGCTTTCTTATTAAAGTTCCTAGAAGCAGATAGGCTTCACAGTCAAGATAGTATGCCTGGGAAACCACAGAATCAATTTTATTTATTGACTGGTAGAAGAAGAGTATTTTAGAGGAGCTAGGAGAAATCCTGGTGATCATATGGTCTCGCAGTCTTTTTTTTTTTTTAAGTTATCAAATTCCTTCTTGATTTTTTAACATTTCGTAAATATGAATTGAACACCTGGTTAGTTGGAAGCATTGTTTTAGATATTTAAGATGTAAAAATGAGGAAAAGTAGGCAAAGAAGCCCTCCATCATGTTGCTTATATTCTAGCAAATATATGTGGGTAATAAGTAAGAGCCAATAAGTAAAATGTAGGAAATTAAAATGAGTGGTGGGTAAAGAAAAAAAAGTGGTATAGGATAAGAGGAATAGGACCAGCTGGAGGAGGTGATGGATTGAACTTTAAATAAAGTGGCCAAGGCAGGATGCATTGAAAAAATGAAATGTTAACAAAAAAAATGTTAGGAAAGACTTTAAAGAGGTTGAGAAGTTAGTTATTTTAATCGTGAGCATAGGAGAGCATCCAAGGCCATGGAAAGTCCCCAAGGCAGGAGGAAGTCCAGCTTGCTGAAAGAACAGCCAGGAGGCGAGTGTGGCAGGAGGTGGATGATGAAGACAGATAAGTGGAAGAAGAAGCCAGTGGGGCAGTGCCCCAGCCCACCTGCAGCACAGATCTCTAGGATTTTTTTATCTCATAGTGTTGACTTTATCTTTTATTCTGAGTTAGATGAGGTAACCACTGGAGAGCTGTGACCAAAGAAATGACATCATTTGACTTAAGTTTTACAGGTAGGTATCTGGCTGCTATGTGGATAATAGACTGTTGGGCTTAAAGATAAAATTAGAGAGACGAGGGTATTCATAGAATCTATTTTAGGGACTATGGAGGCAGCCTCCAAGGAGAGGGTGAGACGTGGTATGATTCCAAATGGATTTTGAAGATATAGCCAACATGATATAAAGAAAAATGCGATGTGGGTTGTGGGAAAAAGAGAAGAATCAGAATGACTGGTCAGATTTCATGTTTGAGCAATTAGATGGATGGCGTTAGTATCAGCAGAGGCACAGTAGGCTATGGATACAGCAGATTGGGGATAAAGTTGAAAGCTCTGATTTGGACTTTGATGATCTATTAGACGTCTATGTGGAGATGTCAACAACACAGTTTTTTTTTTTTTTTTAAAGAAATCTTATGGAAACTCAGTAAGTAAAAGATATGAATGAGACACTATGAAGAGAGGTCAGTGGAGAAACACTCTCTCCACTTATGGTCACCTCTCTCTTTTTGTGGCTCTAGCAGTAACTATGTGACACCCAGAAACTTCATAACAGATCTCCCTCTCTCTTTTTGTGGCTCTAGCAGTAACTATGTGACACCCAGAAACTTCATAACAGATCTCCAAAACCAAAGGCCTGCTACACTAACCTCATTTATAAATGCAGAAGCTTGGGTTTCCATAGTTACACAAAGTAGTTTTCAGGCATTCATATATTCAAGTAGTGACAGAATCAGGACTTAAACTCTGGCCTCTGGCCTCTCAATCTATCGTTCTCCCAGTACCTATCAACAGTTTTACTTTGTGTTCTTGGGCACTTTCTTGTTCCCAGACTGGCTTTTTTTTGGATCAGTTGAATTTCAAACATCCTTTTAAGTTCTACTGGAGTGCTGCTAAACTTTAATTTGTTCAAGTAAGAACCTTAAAAATAGAAATCCAAACTAACAACAACAAAAAAAGAAATCAATGAACAAAGATATATCAATCAAAGAATAAACATACAACTATTGTTGTCATCGTTTCTTCTAAACTAGGAAAAATCAACAGGAAGAAATCAGAAAGGATTTATTCCCACAATGAAGGATAGTCCTTAGTAAAGCACAGTTGGCAATTAGACACTGGTTCTCATACTCACTTGTCTATACTTGTGTTTGTATGCTCTTTATTTTTGTTAATTTCCTTTATTTTTTCCAGGTTGTAAAAATTCCAACACAGATAATTTTACCTGTAGGATTTTCTAAGCCATGGACTTTTACTGAGTGGTATGTTGGAAAAATAACAGTGTCAGAAAACATCTTGCTCTAGTCATAGATCTTCTTGTCATCTTATCAATCCAGCTTCTTCTGGTGGATCCAGATTATGTCCACTTTGAAGAGGAAGCAGCTCTTCTGCTCTTTGCCACCAAGTTGGCTTCTGAAGAGAGAATATCTGCTCTGGAGAAAAGGCATAAACTCCATTCCTCCACAAACTCAAAGGGGCACATTGCCATCATACTTCAGACTTTAAAAGGTCTCCCAATCTTTTATACTCAGAAGTAATGACTATGTCTTACTTTTAAGTTCAATTTAATTCAGTTGGGTTCAGAGTAACTCAATCACCATCTGTTACATACTTGCTTGTATGACACTATATACTATTCCAGGGGTTCAAACATATATGCCTTCTAGAAACACACTTTCAATTACAGTAAACCACATAAAATGCTAAAAACTGTCAGAGAAGTATATATAGAGTATTTTGGGAGCAGAGAAAAAAAAAGACAACTCATTCTGGTATGGGGGCAATGGAATATATAATATCAGGGAAGGTTATAGAGAGGAAGGTATGGCTGAGTTGGAGCTTGAAAGATAAGTCAGAGTTTACAAGATAGAAACATGAATCAGGATAAACAAAACACATGAGCAAAGGTGAAGAGATATAAAATGGCACATAGGAGAGAAAAGAATAATCTGGTTTGTTGGGAAGTGGCTGGAAAAGAGACTGGCATGATTGTGAAGGTCTGTCCATGTCATGCAAAAGAATATGAACTTCATCCTCAAGGATTCTTAAGCAAAAGAGGGATACAAGTACATCATTAACAACATATACTGGGGGTAGAAAATGGCCTGCTGGATTTGGCGGGAGAACAAACTAAAGGCTAGAAGAATAGTTCGAAGACTGTTAAAATAATCTGGGCAGAGGATGTTATGGTTGTGAGCTAAGCAGTATGAATTGAAAGAAAGGTAAAAATTCAAGATGTGATCTTCTTACCAACTCAAAGTCACTGTAAAGGTCCAATAATCCTATCCCTCTGGCACAACCTCCATTCACTTGAAAGTAGCAGTATTAATTTTGGCAAAGCAAGACACCCTAGTAAAATGTAAAATATAGATAACCACCTCAGGCTGCATCCTAGAATCGCTGTGATGGGTAGTAAAAGCCATCCTCAGCCAGCTGCTAAGTCAGACTCCATAGAAATTCTTAACAGCAATAATAAAAATAATATAGCCCTCTAGAAAGTTAGAAATGTATTTGAACACACAGATTTTTATTAGCACCACAAACGTTTCATCAGGCTTCACACATTTGATTTGTCAGAGTAGTGATGTGATACGTCAATAAGTAGAGAGCATCACAGGTGAGCAAGCGAGTCTGGGCTTTGCTTTTCACCCTGAAGTTTAGTGGCTGAGATCTTCATATTTATCCAGAATAGACTGGCTTTTGTCTTGAAATCTGTTTTGACTTACTTGTTTTTTTCTGGGTATTCGAGCTAGAAATGCCAGAAATGGAATCTCAAACTCAGATTCATTTATATTTTCTCATTTTATCTATAAGCATGTGATGTCACACTCTACCAAAGTTACATGTCAAATCAAAGGCAGATCTAAAAACAGAGGCAGCTGCCCTGCCTCTGAATCTAGTGTTTTTTTTGTTTTTGCTACACCCTGCTGTCCTTTCAAGGAATTCCTCTGAAGAGTTTCCTTCCTTTGAAGACTCCAACTATTATGGCATGTACCATTCAATGAATTCATATGAATTCAACTCACATTTAGTTCCCGATGTGATAATTCCATTTTCTATTTCCTCATTCTTCACTTAGTACTGTCTCCTGCAGTTTCTTGCTTTAACTTAGTTAAGCTCTCTTCGTTTAGCATCATTTTTTTCTTGACGTTTTCCTCCATCTTTTTAGTTTTCTATTTTGTTTGATTTTGGATCAAGGAGACCTGCTTTCTTTTCTAACCCAGAAGCACATTCATTGTATAGTGTTTACTACCTTATAAGCACATAATCAGAGAAAGCCTTTCTGTATTCTGTGAATTCAACAAGTTAATCCCTTATGGGGCAATCCTCCTGCAACCCTGTTATTACACAAAGGTTTTATGTCACACCATCCATTCCCCAGTCTTCTCTTCTGCAGAGTTCTAATAATCAGAGGTTTCAGACCTAATAAGAAAATCTGAACAATTCCACATTTCACTTTCCCTGTAACTTGAGGATAGTTCCCATTAATTTATTCAGCAAATAAGCTGAGTGCCTATGTGTTAGACACTCCTCTGAATTAATAGGATTAATAGCTGGCTGAAATAGATATAAAGTTTATTTGCTAGTGAGTGAAATAAGAATGAAACAATGAATGCCACAAATAAGTACAAATTGAGAAAAGTGATGTGGAAAAAATCAACATGCATACTAGGATAATTAATTTAGTATGCCATACAGGATATAGGGCAGAGAGGAGAAGGGGGGAGAAAGGTTTGTGAGAAAGTAATGTAGAAATAGAGATCAAAGGCTGATGCTGGTAGAAAATGGGGAAGTAAGTGGGAGCATTGCAGACCAACAGAACACTGTGTCCCTGACTAGGGCAAAGTCTGGTTGTGTTTCAAAACTTTAAGGCCAATGTGTCTAGAATCTGTTGAGCCAGGGAAAATGGAACAAGATGAGACTAAAGAAACAGGCATGATTTAGATCATACAGGGCCTTGGACAACAGATTGAGATCTTGGGATTTTTTTCCAAGTACAATGGAAAGTCGGCTAAGGGCTTTAAGCAAAAGAACAACTTGATCATTCTTTTATTTTAGGAAAATTCTAAATTCCTCTTGGAGAATGGATGAAGGAAGGAGAGAGTTAGGTGTAACGGTGAGGAGACCACAAAGGAAGCGATTCTCTGAGTTCTATTAGGAGTTAATAGTGGCTCTGAAAAGAGAGATTTTGGTCCAGGGCCTCCTCATTGCAAAATGCTAGAGACACAGTTCATATTTTTGTTGGTACACATGGTGCTCACTGGAATTTGTAACAAGTAGCTCACTTCTTTGCCTCTTCTTTCCTTTTCTTTTCTTATCTTTCTCTTCCTCTTCCTTTTTTTCTTTTTTAAAATTTCTTCCTATACCCTAAACTATTTTTTTTTTTTTTACTTTGAGCCTATTCTAATTATATAACTTGAAGCAATATGTATGATATTTAACAATGCTGTCGGTGTAATATGGCTTTCAACAATAATATAATAGTAGCAACAGCCTTTAGCATAAGTGTTTATTCAGTGTCTTATGTTCCTCCAGTTCCCCATTATTCTATTCACAATTTGGATTTCCTTTTCAAACTTGTCTTTAAATATACCATTAGGAACGCATGACTTTCTTTACACACAAAATAACAAATCATAAGATAAACAGAAACCTAAAGACAAAACAAACAAACAGATGAATTAATAAAATATCGTGCAGGTTTTCCAGAAGGTAACGTTTGAGATGGTAACGTTTATGTGAAATTTATTTCTTATCTATTAATAAGGGTTAAGTGTTTTGACCTGCTGGGAGAAATTTTAGAGATCACGTGGCATAATTTCAAATTTTTTAAAGATGAGAAGGGAATCCCAGCCAGAGTTAGCAAAATCTGGGGAAAATATAGGTGTCTTCACTCTTGAGCTAGTATTTATCTAATTATAATTTGTTGACTTTTTCTTTGCTTCCTTCTTTTTGTTTTCTTTCAAAGCTCTATCTTCCCTGGAAAATTCCACTTCCTTTTAACTACTGTGATTTCTACTGCAAAAATCTCATAAGATAAGCAATGCAATTTTCAACTAGTTGGCTAATGTTCCACACTAATAGCTTTTCCCATTATCAATTGAATTGGAACAATAATTTTACCACTTAAAGCCCAGAATTGTATTTGTACAGCCATATTTGACCATAAAGTAGGTTCATTCAGCTGATTAAGAATGGCTTATAAATTCTCATGTCATCTACTGTTATTTACACCAAAGGAAAAACATCCCTGCTTTCTCGTTTACTCTTCTTATTGCACAGGCTGATAGAAATATCATTCTTGTAGTCAATGAGAATTCAATTACACCAATTTAAAGACTTGTATTAAGAACTTAATGGACTGTTTTCTCTCTCTTATTCTGGAAACTCAGCTCATTTCCCACAGAATAATTTAATGTGCTTTGTTGATATTTGATAAGTGGCCTTTGTTCTAACCTTCAAACTTTACCATTTTATCATGCATACCCAATCTACACTTTTCTATTTAATCATAGAAATGCTTCAAGGCATATACATATTTTTTAAATTTTAGAACATATTATATGGTGGAGTTTTTTTCTATTAGCAATGTACTAAAAATATAAACTACAAAAATTCATACATTTTTTACTGGGGTCCTTGTGGCTTAGAAACAAGGGCCCAAAATGCTAGCAGCCTCAGTTAGGACTGTGTGCATATTGCTGTAATATATGTTAACCTACAGCTACAGGAGAGGTTACAACACTTACATGTAAACTGGAAAGGGGAAGCTAAAAGCTTGCTGCTGCTCAGTATTAGCAGTATCCTGAGTCCACTGTGACAGCCGTATAGTGGAAAACATTCACACAGGTAGTTTTTTGTTGGCTACTCCAGGCAGCCTAGGCTGCAGTTAAACTGCTAGTCTATTTCCTAGAAACCAATCCTAACTATATGCTCACTCTACAGCTAGCTCAGTTTATGATTAAAAAGCATTCAATACATTTATTCTAAGAGTTCAAAGTTATTTTCCTAAAAAAATACATATAATTTCTAGGCAGTCAAAATAGATATCAAAATTTTGAGAAGGTTTATTTGGGACTTAGGCCTATATGTGTCAGGCCTATTTTCTTTACATGAAAATAATGGAACTAATTACCAATAGCCCACACCCCTCATATTTAGTCTGGGTTCCTACTTGGTGTCTGCTGCCATACTAAAGATGGAAACCAAGCAAAAGTCATGTTGATTAGCAGAGCTGTATCCTCACTGTCTCTGATTCTCATCCTACCTGACTCATCCCCAGGGCCAGTTCCCTGTTGAAGGAGAGGAGGCAGGCTTTTGTGGAGCACAAAATGCATACATCGGCGGGGCATGGTGGCTCACACCTGTAATCCGGCACTTTGGGAGGCCTAGGTGGGTGGATCACCTGAGATCAGGAGTCCGAGACCGGCCCAGCTAACATGCCAAAACCCCATCTCTACTAAAAATACAAAAAATTAGCCCTGCATGGTGGTGGGCACCTGTAATCCCAGCTACTTGGGAGGCTGAGGCAAGAGAATCGCTTGAACCGAGGAGGCGGAGGCTGCAGTGAGCGGAGATCATGCCACTACACTCTAGCCTGAGCTAAATACCAAAACTCTATCTCAAAAAATAAATAAATAAATAAATAAATAAATAAATAAATAAATAAAGCATCTATATGTGTATATGGAAGTGCACATGTGAGAATATTTTGAGGTGAAGGAGAATAATTTTTTTTTTTTTTTTTTTTGAGACTGAATCTTGCTCTGTCACCCAGGCTGGAGTGCAGTGTGGTGTGATCTCGGCTCACTGCAACCTCCACCTCCCGGGTTCAAGCAATTCTCCTGCCTCAGCCTCCCAAGGAGCTGGGATTACAGGCATGTGCCACCATGCCCGGCTAATTCTGTATTTTTAGTAGACACAGGGTTTCAACCATGTTGGCCAGGCTGGTCTCGTGCTGCCTTATGTCTATAGACACATTTACTGACTATGGTTATTTTTTTAAAAATGTAATTGAGTAAAATGATTTCCTCATCGGGCATTCTTCAAGCCCTTTAAGCTCACAAAATGTCCACTCTTCCAGAATTATTATAACAGTGACCAAATCACATCCTGGCAATATCTATTCAGTGATGTGAATGAACTCTTCTCTTCTGGTGCTTTTTTCTTTGCTTTTACGATTTCTTAGATTCAGGGTCTGCACTTAAGTCTTTTGGTCGATTTTTTTAATTTCCAATTTTTATTTCAATAGATTTTGGGGTACAAGTCGTGTTTGGTTACATGGGTAAGTTTTTTAGTGGTGATTTCTGAGATTTTGTTGTACCTGTCACCTGAGGAGTGTGCACTGTACCCAATATGTAGTTTCTTATCGCTCACCCCGTTCCAACCTTCCCCACCAACTCCCATTTTTAAAAGAAATATAGTATCCAAATATAAAAAATTAAAATAATGATATTCATCTTCTCTTTTTAACATGTTAAGTAATTGAACTTAGAAAATAAAATGCTAAAACTTCAAAAAGTGGAATACAAGCAGGAGATTAAAATTGCCAGCTTTCTTCTTTTCAAGGTCAAGTTTAAGGAATGACATTATGATGGAGTAAAACTCCTAAATTAGGTGTCATTCCTTGAAATCAAATATAAAATCAAATATTTCCTTTTATCTAAATTAATATAGATTATTTACTATTTGTTCAAGTCTTAAAAGGTTTTTAACATCTCCTGAAATCAATGGGGCTTCTTTCCCTAAGGGACAAATCTTTGCTTAACATGATCCTGCTTCCCATTGCAATTGATTTCTGTGTTTCTGAGATTGGCATCAATCTGCAGCATCTGATAATAGAAAGGCAAAATATTTTTCTCATCCTTGCGTTATCATAAAATGCCACCCACCAAGTGGATAAATAGATGAACCAGATCTCGAAATCACAGTTTTGGGTAAGCAGCAGGGTTTTAGGAGCTGCTTATCTCTTTCCCTTCTCTGCCTTGTGAGAAATGTATTCACTGCTAGTAATTCCTCAGGTACTCTGCATTGGGGCCTAAGGAATTAGAAACAAACAAACAAACAAACAAACAAAACTGTGTACCTACATCACTGCCTAAAGTTTCTAATTTATAAATGCTGTTGACTTTCCATGAGTAATTAAAGCATCCCTGAGACAAAGTCTATATAACAACTCAATATCACTTTGAAAGTTCAAAAAAATTAAATAATGGAATTTATCACAAAGATACCTCTTCACATTCAGTCTTACTGTTTGTTTTCATGGAAACTCAGAAGACTTTCACATCAACCACTTAGTTTTATTGTTGTTTCTCTTATGCTATTACTCAAGCTATAAAACAAGTATAAGATTGCTTCTCAATCATTTAAGAAGATTTCCTTCTGAAGTTGTTGTCACCAATTTCAGAGCAATTCATTTAGAGCATCCTGCCTAGGCTGTCAATGAATTTAAATGTGAAGTAACATTTAATTAGTTCCTACTATGTGTGTGTATCCACTTTTGTGTTATTTGAGGTTTATCATCTCATTTAATCTTCACAGCAAATTTAAGATTTTTTTTAATTGTAAAGATGGGTAAATTAATAGTGAGATCTTCCCTAATCACCCAATAATTAAGCAGAAGATTGCACATTTGAAGTTAGATATTCTAAGTGTGGGATTAGACAGATTTTGTTATTATTGCTTATTTTCTTATGTTTCATAAACCCTTCCAAATTAAATATATACTAAGTTAAAAGATAAACCAGGCACACATGTGTTATTTTTTAAAATAGCCCCTTACTCATTTGATGATGTAAGAAACTAGAGATCCATTATCTTTAAGTGTCCAGTGAGGAGGCAAGGAGTTTCAATCTGAAATGTATCAATGAGAGTAGCTATTAAAGTAAGCAAGTCTTTCTCCCCTCCCTCCAGAATCCTTCCTTCCCTCCCCACCCCCGCTTTTTTTTTGTGGCACCAAAAATATGACCATTGCCAAAACAAAATATGATTGGGATTGGGTGATTCCAGCATGAGAATAACAGATGGCAATGTCTGGCCTATGTAACCGGGACTTTCCAAAAAACTCTCAACTCAGAATATTACCACAATAAAGTATGCAAATAAGAATACAAATCACATTAATGGGCCTGTGCATGCACACAAGTTTAGAATAGAAGGGCAGTAGTGTTTGACATGTGGTGCCACTGAAATGGAATGCTTAATTACCCATAGGTCAGGATTAGAGAGAATATTATTGAAATAAATAACAATTTGAAATCATTGTTTAAATTTTTTACTAACTATTTAATAGAGTTTAGTAAGTAAGAATAGGCAATTTTGCTGAATAATTACCAAATAATACTGAAGATTAAATGTGAAAAAAGCTTGCAACACTCTCAGGGGGGTCATATTTGTATAGGGGAAATAACTTTATTATTCATTCTATAATTTTCTTTTCTTTCAAAAAGTGAAGTAATTTTCTTTAATTTTTCTGCAAATTGTATTGCCCGATAGTATGAAGAAAAGTAATTTAAAGATGTAAACCTTTTAGTTAAGACTGTAAACATAGCTTTAACTACAATTAATATGATTCCACATATTTTAACTGTCCCATATTATCTTTTTTATATTTTAAAAGGTATCTATGATTTTCAATCAATTAAGCATCCCATTATATTTGATTAATGCAGTAGTAGGAATCACTGCAATAAATCTGACTATTGATTCATTTATTTTTGATAATCGGAGTTTTCCAACTGTTGGATAAGTTCTCCAGAGTCACTGGGAAGTTCTCACCCAAATCATAATTCACGATGGGTCCCTTGAAGACATAGTCATGCTGTAGCAAAACAGTTTATGCAATATACTTGTGGTCACTTTGAATAAAATGTCCATTGAAGGTCAGACTTGAGGCAGGATTGGAGGCGATAGATGTGCTTTTCCTTGTCGATGCTGACCTGACTCTGAATCCCTAATGTGCTACCAGTGAAACCAAGCTTGTGCCTTTTTGTGGTACCAGAACTTCCAGGTAACAGTTAGTTCCCTGGTGGAGGTGTTGTTAAATTGACTTCTTTCACCACAGAGCGGGCACCATGAATTGTCCTCACAAAATAGAAATTGATTCTAGATCTGGGTTTGCTTTTTTTTTTTTTTATCATTTATCTTCTAGCACTATCATATGAGAGAAACTTTCTGGGTGACAATGGAATCTCAAATTACATACAGTCCTACAAATCGATTTAATTTATAGTGAAGGAAGCTAGAGAATGAATGGGTGCCTATGAGATTCACAGATCTTAACCTTTTATCTCTCAGAAGCAGCTGGTCTTAGACAGTGGTGGAAGAGCTTATTAAAGACATGGTTACAGCACCGCTGCAAGACAAGACCCAGGAGTTTGTAGTGTTGCCTTTAGCATGTGGCCCAATATCTGATCATGCTATCAATACACACTGCTATTTTCCCCATACGGGTTCAGGCATAAAAACACAGGAATTGAGTGAAATTCCTCACACAAAACACACCTACAACAGCAAAACATTTGCTTCCCATTTCAGTGACTTTAGGCTTTAGAGCCCAGTGGAGGAATTCTATCATTGGTGAACACATCCATTCTCCAATGAAATAGGATTCTGCTCTTCAATTTAAGTTTGCTTGTGCAACTCGATGAAAGGGCAAGGAAAGAGTTCCATTATGGGTTGTGTAGATCCGGTCAGACTAAGAAGAGAAAATAGTGTTGTTATCATCCAATGAAGGTGGGAAAAAACAAAAAAGCATGAATTGCACTAAGTGATCACCAGCAACACTTATCATTGTTACATGCACAAGTAGAAGTCCTTGGGATCTGAATGCAACTTCAAACGAGAACCCTGGCCATAAGTCCAAGGTTCTGATTCCTTCAGTAATAAAAGTTTGCGCCTCTCCACTGGGTAGAGAAACCAGGTTATCCGAGATGCTAACTGAAGCATAGTAAAGAAGGAATATCACAGATGTCATCCACTTCAATTGCCTTGGGGACAGCTGCAGAATTGAGGGCTGTAATCACACGGTGGACTGAAAAGCACAGGGGAAGTGACAGCATGTGGCAGGTGTCGGCGGGCTCTCGAGGTCAGCTGTGTGGATTGCACACTGACTTACTAACTCTGTGGGCTTTTAACCTCTCTGTGCCTCAGTTCTGTTCCTCTGAAAATGTGGATAACAATGGCATCTACCTTCTAAAATTACTAGTAGTACAACATGATGTAACATAGAAACAAGTACAAAATTAAGTGCATAAGAAATACTACTTACTAACTAGAAAAGCTATTGTTAACATTATTTATTGCTATTGTTTCTCCTCCATGCAGTACCATATATTTATGTAGTTTTATAAAGCTCTCTCTCCCTTTTTCCTCTTCATTTTTCTTACTATTGAAAAGAGGACTTGTTGGTCATATTTAACTTTCATATGCAGTCAAGATTGCTGAATATTGATGAGGTAATAGCAAAATTAGTAGAGAAATGGACATCTAGAGATTCTGGACATGTAGCTACATACATTGAGTGGTGAGATTTTTGGATCATCTCCCTTTAAGGAAGGGGCATTATTAGTAATAGAAAAACAACTGCATTTGAGAACTGTTTATTTTTATGTATGGAAACATTTTCAGAAGTATAAGTGTAAAAAATTGGGTATATTTTTATTTGTGGCAGCCAATGTGCTGGATTTTAGTGGATGTTTGCCTTTTTGCCTTAACCCCAGTATCGTATTCTAGTTGTCCGTGGGAAGTTTCCTTCTGAAAAGGAAGTCTAAGTGGTCTAAGAGCCCCCCTTGTTCTCTGGAAGGCATATGCCTATAAGCTAGTCTAGATAATTGGTTATTCTGACTTGGAACTTTGACTCTTTAGAAAGTGATGCAAACCTAAAGTTTCTAATCTCTCATTTGTAGCAGCTGCCTTTCCTCCTGTAGCTTGCTTTTGCTCATTGCACTTTTCCTTCAGGGCATGGGGATGAACATGGGAAGACTGAAACCAGTGAACACCACTGGCCTCCAGTGACTACAAGGTCAAAGTGTAGGCATGCCCAGAGACTCTACGAGTCCAAGAGTCAATTAATACACTGGAAGAAGGGATAAATGATTGATAATAGAGTTGGAGAGGGTGTGAGGGAAGAGGAAAGAGAGACTAACATTTTCTCCCATTAAAACAACAATAACAACAACAACAACAGCAACAACAACAAACCGGTCAATCTTTCACGAGAACTCCCCAAAATGACTAAGATCTAAGGAAATAAAAAATGAGAAGATAGGAGTTTTGAAATAAACCTTTAAAAGCCACTAGGGAAGGAGAAAGCTAACTTCAAGAAAACTGCCCAGAAGAGATGAAAGTCTTCAGCATGAAAAGCACTTCATCTCTCTCTGGAGTAACTTCAGAAAATACACTGGTCTGTCTGGGAGGGAGGTGGTGAAAACATTCTCCTCTCCTGGAAAGAACTGTCCCTAGAGCAGATAGATACTGCTAGAGGTAGAAGGGAGCAGGGGGAAATATGAGCAAAATCAGAGGAGGTCAAGTGTATTTTGTCAAATGTAACCCAACAGGTAAATATTTCCATGCTTCATGGCTAACTCAGAGTTTAGCTTCTGACAAAGCGGGAGGTACAATAAATCTAAGTTCCAGCCTGGGTGTTAGAAGACATCTGAGCAATAAGATTCTGGCTCTGCCACTGAGTTATTTGTGTGTTTTCTTTAGCTTTTCCTTTTCTTTTCTTTCTCGCTTGCTTCTTTCTTTCTTTCTTTCTTTCTTTCTTTCTTTCTTTCTTTCTTTCTTTCTTTCTTTTCTTCTTTCTCTCTCTCTCTCTCTCTTTCTTTCTTTCTTCTTGAGACAGGGTCTTACTCTGTCACTCAGGCTCAAGTGCAGTGGCACAATCTCTGCTTATTGCAACCTCTGCTTCCCAGGGTCAAGGGTCCCTCCCTTGTAGCTAAGGGAGGCTCCCTTGTAGCCTCCCGAGTAGCTAAGACCACAGGCCTACACCACCTCCCCCAGCTAATTTTCTTTTTCTTTTTGGTAGAGACAGGGTTTCACCATATGGCTCAGGCTAGTCTCGAACTCTTGAGCTCAGGTGATCCACACACCTTGGGCTCCCAAAGTGCTGGGATTACAGGCATGAGCCACAGCTCTGGCCTAGTCCTTCATTTTCTAATATATAAAATGAGTAGAAAATCTGTGGTGTTACCTACATTGTAGAGTTGAGTCTAATATTAAATGAGGTAATATAAGTGAAGGAAGTGCATATATTTAAGGCATATAAAACAAAATGGCAATTCTACTTACAAAGTTGAAGTATGGAGTTCCTCAAACCTGAATTAGCAGAAGTGCACATTTTGATACCCATAGCAATCACAGCACAGTCTATGAGATACATGCACCTTGTGTAGGCACTGGAATGCTCACAATCATGTCTCAGCAAGAAGGGGATGAACATGTTGAAAATGTGGAAAAACAATCTCCCTCATTCATATCCTCACTCATTTGTATGGACTTAGAGGAAACTCTCCTAAACTGAGTTATTATAGCTGTTTCTCCTGCCCAAGTTCTGCGCCTATGCTCTTCTGTAGTTTGGAAATGGAGAATAAAGAGAGGTCAGGTATTGACCTGGCATTACCAACCTGGCTGCAGAATTTAGCACTTCATTATTGCACCACCACTCCCCAAGGCATTGACAAACATAGTAATTTAACTAAGAACCTGATGGGGAGGACAAAGAAAAGAGAAGCATCTTAAATTCCCTTTAAACATTTCTAATATTTTCTAAAGTCCCTCTTCAGCCATCAGTTCTTAGATTTCCCCTCAATGCTGTTTATATTTCTCTGTGTCTTCTCTCTCTCTCTCTCTCTCAATCTCTCAATAATCTCTCTCTCTGCCCCCAGCCCCACCACCAACACCACCCTGAGCACCAGTGGTCCTACCAGTTCCAGATGGTTTGTCTAAGTATGAATCTCACACAATCAGGTATCATCCTAAGGGGACTTCTGCTGTTAGGAAAAATAAGCTTCTCCCCACAGAGTTAGTTTAAAATCTTTGTAATTATAAAATTTCTCCATCCCAGCCCTTGGGCACTCCATCAACAAATTCTCCTCAACTTACTCTGAACCTCGCTGGCCATCAGACACTTGAAATGGTTCAATTTCTGGATCCTTTGAGGTTGAGTAAAGCCACAAGCCTAATTCTGGCCAATGAGTGTTGAATGTGTGAGTGACATATCTATGAATGGAGCACTTACTTACTGTTGGTGTTGTTCTCTAGAGTCTCATTTCTTTTCCTCTGCCACAACAATGGTCCTGATATAGACTGAGATGGGGTGCTCTTCAGTCTAGGTCTCAGTGTGAAGAAATGTGGAGCCTAGCCCCCAGCTGATCATTGCTGAACATGTAACATAGGAGATAAAGAACAAAACGGACCAGGCACAGTGGCTCACGCCTGTAATCCCAACACTCTGGGAGGCCGAGGCAGGTGGATCGCCTGAAGTCAGGAGTTTGAGACTGGCCTGGCCAACATGGTGAAACCCCGTCTCTACTAAAAATATAAAAATTAGCTGGGTGTGGTGGCAGTCGCCTGTAATCCCATCTACTCGGGAAGCTGAGGTAGAAGAATTGCTTGAACCCAGGAAGCGGAGGCTGCAGTGAGCCGAGATCACGCCATTGCACACCAGTCTGGGAGACAGAGCAAGACTCCATCTCAAAAAAATAAAATAAAACCTTTTGTCTTAGAAGCTACCAATAATCTGAGGGTTGTTTATTACAAAGCATAGTCTATTGTATCCTGACTGATAAAATCCTTCAGTTCTAGAAAATCTAAGTCACTCTATAACAGCTTTATAGTTGTCCTTAATCTGTCATTGAGTCTGGTAGCAATTTCCCTTCAAGACCCCCAATTCCTCCATCAAACTCTATGACTCTCTAAAAATAGCTGATTTCTCACAAAAATATGTAGAAAGGCAGAGCCTATGATATAAATCTAATTTTCTAGTTTCTTAAATTTTCATTTCAAAGAAAATTCTCTCCTCTGTGTATTCTTTTTTCTAATAAAAAGAGAAATTCTCTAAAGAATAGAGCAAAATTTCTGTAAACAATCTATTTTTCCCGAAGTGACTACCATTTAAAACTATCGTTTATGGGTAGTCTATGAGGTTTGGTTCTTTAAGTTGTATAGAGGGTTAGAGATTCAATTTTGTAATTAGTAAGAAATGGGTTCAAATCCCTGGATTTAGGCCCATTTGTAAGGGAATGTGTTTGAGCAAGTTATAAAAAAACTTCATACTTTGATATCTTCTCCCATAAAATGGTCACAATTCTAGAAAGTCTCTCAAGGGAATTGTGAGGATTTAATTAGGTAATGCACTTTAGGTCCTAATTATAGTGTCTTTCAAATAGTAAATGCTCAATAAATATTAGCTATTATTACCAACTTATAGTCAGTAGATAGCCTGAAATAGTCACGTTTACTGCCAAAGAAGCATTTGTGGCAGAACATCATTATATTTACTGGGGAAAGGAGTGTGTATGTATGTGTGTATATCTATATAGAGATATTTATATACATTTTTAAAATATATGCATATGTATATATAACTTTAAGAAACATTGTTCTTATCACAATTCTCTGAGCAAATGATGCCCTTATAGGATTGTACTTTTCAGATTTAGTACCTCTGCACATTTAGTAGTCATATTCTAAGAGTTCCTATGGTTAAAAAGAAAACAAATAAAGAAACAAAATCCCATGCCATTGCAAGCTGTAAAAGTAATCTTGCTGTACATTTCTTATATAAATGGAAAAAAACATACATGGATTTTTAGAAAACCTACTTTTTATTGCTTAAAGAAAGCATCCAAATGGGATTAAAAATATAGTTTTGTTGGCAGGGATGCATATTATTTGTTGTCGAGAGATGGCTAAAGAGTCTTTTTAACTAATTTTTTTTTTCTCTAAATAGCTCCTTCTACTCTTTCAGATTTTTTTTCTGATTTCTTCTCCTCTGTCCCTCACAACCACCAAATCACACAGAGATACTTATAGGCAAGTAAGAACAGAGAGAGAGAGAGAGAGAGAGAAAAAAAGCATCTATTGAGAAGCAATATATCATGATTGTGCTAGGTACTTTCATTTGTATTTGTATTTCATCTTATAGCTATCCTCTTGCTGTGGTTTGGATGTTTCCTGCCTCTAAACCTCATGTTAAAATCTAATCCCCAGTGTTGGAGGTGGGGCCTAATAGGATATAGGATGTGCTTGGGTCATGGAAGTGGATTCCTTGCGAGTAGACTAATGCTCTCCTTGGGCAGTGAATGAATTCTTGCCCTATTAGTTCCTGTGAGAGATGGTTGTTAAAAAGAGCCTGGCACCACCCCTCTCTTTTGCTTCCTCTTTCATCATGTGATCTTTGCACACACAGGCTCTCCTTCACCTCCCTTTTGAGTGGAAGCAGCCCTGAGGCTCTCATCAGAAGCAGATTCTGGCACAATGCTTCTTGTATAGTCTGCTGAAGCCTATAAACTTCTTTTCTTTACAAATTACCCAGCCTCAGGCATTTCTTTATAGTAACACAAGACAGACTGTGATACCTCTGAAATATATGTATTCTTTCTTTTTATGTAGATGAAGAAAAGAAGAATAAGAGCTCCTAAGATCATGTATCTATTCTGAGTTGCTAAAGTTTGCACAGAAATGCAGGTTGGTGCTGAAAGTAGTATTATTTCATACTGTTCAGTGTTCACTATGTGAGATTACTGATGAAGACCTTGAGGGCAGACTGAACCATGTTCCTCTCAACTATGCCTGCCATCCTTTTCTTGGGATGAGGAGTCTAGAAAGCACTCCTCTTTTAAGAAAGACATAGTGGGATTTAGCAGACATTTGTATTTGATGATACAACCCATCAGATTTTTTAGACCAGATGAACACTTCTTTGGTTCTCACATAAAAAGGTATATTCCTGTGTCCCATGTTTAAATGGAGTTGCCAAAAGTCTATACATGTTTTGCCTTCTCATTTAACTGAGTAATTGCTGATTGGACATTTAATATGCAACTTTAATGGCTAACCCTTTGTATACTGTCTCTATAATGAGTTCATCTTATTGTACATACAAATATATTTTCAAAAGTCTACTGTTCCTTTAGTCACCAAAACTAAAAGGTCCTGATTTTTTTCTTTTATGCAGCACCAAATTAATCATAAAAGCAGTGTGTTAATATTAATATTGCTTCACGGTAGATCAATAGCTTTTATTACCTTTGAATCAAACATTTCCACTTTATGACAATACTTCACAGTACAATTCAGAAAATCTGAGCCGATAAATTTAGGTAAAGATTTAAATTGAATTGTTTTATCTTTTAATCACTAAACCAAGCTCCAGTTTGGAAGCATAATCTGCTTAAACTGCACACATCCTCACATCCACTGGAATAAAATGAAAGCAAGGTTTATGACATTTCTCTCTCATTTTCTCCAGCAATTCTCCTTGATGGATTGCTGGGATTCACAGAGCTGGGGAAAATCACTGCCTACCAGCCACCCAGGCAGATCTAGGATGCTTGAGTGCCGTTGCCTTATTACCCTCTTCCTTCATGGCTGCATGACAGAAAGTGCAGGGGTTTTCCGTGAATTCATCATACTGTTCTTCCCATAGTAGAAGGAAAAAAAAAACCTGTAGCATTACATAATGTAATCTGATGTACAAGTTTGCCTCTTTTCAAGAGGAGTAATATTTGATGTAATAGCCTAAGATGGGTTTATGTGTATGGTTCTTCGCTTAAGGAGTGTTAGTGACAGCCTGGCTGTGCTCAGGCCACTTCCTTATCCGGAAAAAAACCCTGAGAACAACAGGGATGGTCTGGGACCCTGGATTTCTAGGTTTCTCCTTGCAGAATAATACTTTAGGGGAGAGCAGCAGGACAGGTATGGAAGGTACTCACTTTGATGGAACCACTTCTTTCTCTGTCTCCTGCGTCTTACAGTCAGGTCTGCATGGAGTGGGTAAAGCATCACACAAGTGAGTCTTCATCACAAACCTCTTATGGTCCCAGTAGTTTCAACAGCTAAGCAAGTTGCCAATGAGTTGCTTCTTGAGAATCAGTTTGATGTTGGTTGGGACTTTAGGGGGCCCTAAAGCTAAGACTGATTTCAGGCCTGAGCCAATGGCCAGAAGGAGTGGAAGGTCTGTGTGTTACAAAAATATAAATCAGGTTCCACTCTTATTTTCTCTTATTTATCCTTTTTCTTTCCTCTCCTCACATTTTTCCTTTTTTCTTGTTTTTTATTACTCAGTTTAGTTTCCCTTTTGTTTTCACTTTCTTCATCTTTTTTAGCTGCCACATGGAGTCTTATTAAATGCTCTTTTATATTTAATGCTGTTGATATATTTTTGTTTCTTTTGATGTTGGCAAAGAGAGCAGGTGGTTGAAAGAGCTTTTGTCTCACTGAACATCACATGGCCAGAAACTAAAACAGTTTTAAAAAGAAACAAATTTGAGAACTTCTGCTCTGGTCTTAGTATTTACATTTGTTCCTAAAAGCTTAGTGTTTTAAAAACTGGGCAAATTAGTTTCAGCATTTAAATTGTGAATCTGTCACTTTAGATAAAAACAAAAATGGATGTGCAGATGACAGTATGTAAAGTTCGTGTTAGTTGCAAGGGTGCTCTTACCTGACACTGAGCCTGTTTAGTAAGAGTGCAGTTAGATTTCACATGCAAACAATACTTCATATGTTTCCCTACTGAAAACATATCCCCTTTCTTGAGTTTCAATTCTTTCACAGAAAATGGTATTTGTGGGCTATTCTAAGAAAAGAAAGAAGTTATGCTCTAGGACATAGACATTTCATTATTGTTAGAAAAAAATAACAGAAAGAAGTATATTCTTAATATATCAGACAGTACATCTATAAAACCATTTTGTTGGTTTAAGTGACAGATTTGCTATTAACTAGTTTGGGGAAAGACAATTCAACTTTCTGGGCCTCACTTCCCTTATTCATGAAAGGCAGTGATAAGATTAAGTCATCATTTAAGTTTCTTTCAGCTGTAACATCTGACTTTGATGGCAAATTGTTGTGTACCCCAAAGGCAATTTAGCCTCACAGCACTCCTAAGGCAATAAGTGGCACAGACTTTGACTCATCAAACCCTTTTCAGTAATATTTTTACTGTTTATCAGCACCACTGTTGATGATGGTTTTAACTTGGTTGACTTTCACCTTAGCTTGGGCCATGTTGCTGGTTTGGGTTTAGAGGGGTAAGGGATTTATCAAAGGAAGACTGAAAGTAATAATTTTTGAGTATTTACCCTGAGACTCACTCTGGCTAGAGAGAGATGCATACATTTCATAACAACCTGTGAGTAATGCATTATCAAACTGAGAATGTCCATGACAAAAACTGGAAAGCAAAAGTCAGCTAACTCATTCAAGGTGTAACTGAGTAGTACAGCCTAGATATGAAACAAGGCTGCTTCATTCCAAAACCTAGGCTTCGCTACCTGCTGCTCCCAGGTCATTACATGGCTCTACTGCTGCCTATGGGGTCCTGCTGGGCTCATTTCCAGGTTTAGGGTTTCTCTACGTGTCTTTGAGGACACAGAATGAATAGCTAATCCCAATGTAGGGCATGCCCTTTCTTCTCTCAGAGGGTGGAATAGCAGAAATAGAATAAGAAACATGCTACACCTCTTCCACTCCAAGCTGATACATTGTCACCTCCAACCATATTCTACTGGTCTAAGTAATCCACATGGGCAAGCCCAAAGTCAACGGCACCTGGGCATATACTTTATGTGTTGGCAGGCGTGGCAAAGTCTCACAGCAAAGGATTTAAGTAAAGGAAGCTACTGGAGATAAGAGATAGCTGGGAAAAACAACCTATTTTTTGATACCAATAAATAGATTGCTGAGTGGAGTTTGGAAATTTCTTTTCTTAGAGACAATCAAGAGTAGGAGCCCAGGCACTGTGACCACACTTGTAATCCCAGCACTTTGGGAAGCCAAAGTGGGAAGATTGCTTGAGCCCAAGAGTTTGAGACCAGCCTGGACAACAAAGGGAGATCCTATCTCTACCAAAAAAACAAACAAACAAAAAATAGATTGACATGGTGGTGCACACCTGTAGTCCTAGTTATGTAGGAGGATTGCTTGAGCCCAAGAGTTTGAGGCTGCAGTGAGCTATGATTATGCCACCACGCTCCAGTCTGGGTGACAGAGCAAGACCATGTTAAAAAAAAAATCCACAACCCAACAAAACAAAACAAAACAAAGAATAGGAGGAATGAATAGATTAATTTTCACTTTGTGAAATTCTAACAGAAAACAAGGTTTTATATCTGATATTCTGTGATTATAATACAGGCATCATTTTCTTGTACCTTTAAAAAAGAAATATTAAATAGACAATATTATTCCTGTTATATATCCACAATTCCCAATAAATCTACGCATTTATTATATGTATTGCCATTATTTCCGAAATAAATGCATTCTTTTATTATTTTAATGATCAAATTTTGGATTCTGTGTTATGTAGTCCATCCTCACAAAAGGCAAACAGACCAGAGACTGGTCTGTTTGCTTTTTACACCAAACATTCTTTAGGTTTGGGCTTCATGCCAGTTGAAATGGTCCTTGACCGTTGATCATCCACTATCAATGTCAAAGAAAACCGAGTTCTAATTGCTCATAATTCTCAATATGAGAACATTTAGTTTTTAAATTGAGGCATTCTAAATTCAAACCAACTATACCTTGTTTTCTCCTAAACAAAGTATTCTGTGTTTTCTGTGTGTATTTGTTTAAAAGAAGTATGGTAGAATCTTGATTGTGGATTTCTGGCAAGAGCAAACTCCTAATGAGCTAACTTTGCATGGTAAGGTAACAACAAAGTCAAACTTTAAACTTCCACACTCTTGATTTCACTGCAGAATCTGCTCCCTTTCATCTAACTGCAAAGACACCAAAGACGACTCCTGGCTTCCAGGGAGACAGTTCACACCAAGGGTTTGCTGAGCTGAGCTTGTTTATTTGCTGCACAAAGGTATTTGTCTCTGAGCAACAAAGGAAAGCCACCACATTGAGGTCACTCTAATTACTCGTCTGTATGCAAGAAATAGTCTTCTGAAAGAACCGTTTCCACCCCTTCTTTAATTATGATTTGTTTTCTGTCACTGAAAGGATTAAACCGAATGTGCCAAATCAAAGTAGCGATATTAGCACTTTGGAGTGCATTGAGCCAGTTCTTAAGTAAAATGTGAGTATGGTTTTTAAATCTTTTACCAAGACTTAAAATGAACTAAGAATTTATAGAGATATTGTTTAAACTCTTTTAGGGGTTGGTTTAAAATTATAGCTTCTTCTTATGTCACCAAGCATATGAAAGAGCAAGAAAACAGACGTATTTTATGAATTATGAAAGATAACTGAAGCTACAGAGGGGTTGCATTAAATTTGGAATAGTATATAGTGAATTTTAGGGAGATGTGTTCAAAAAAACAAATCATTTTTGTGAAATAATAAAAATTGTTATCAATTATAACAAGTACTTCATACATATAAAGTTTTTATTTTATAAAGCTTATTCAATAATGCTATCTCATTTGGTCCTCCTTGTAATTCTGGAAGTCATTTACAACATAGTTTTTGTTTCAGATAAAGGAATGAGTAGCCCTTGTCATGCAGTGGCTAACTTCCAAAGTGTTTATGCAAGATTCTGTAACAATATCATACGTAAGTCACAATTTGTGGCAATTTGAACTGCTTCACTTAAAGTTTTTTTCTCTTTTTATTAATAAATTTATTTTACCTCCTAAGGAAATGAGTTATATAAGCAACACTGCTAATAGGATGACTACCTAATAGAACACAATTTTTCAAGTGTTATAAAATATTTGAAAACATTAATTGGCTATAGTGAAATTGATGAACAAATTAAAAAATCATTCTAATTATTTGATCAAATTCACTTTCTTTGAGATTTTCATTAAGATATGATCTGTGTGGACATTGTTTTAATGTTTGGACATTTTAAGAATTGAATGTTATGCCAAAGAATTATCTCCTTGAGTATCAATAGCCCATAGAAAAATTAAAATTGGTCATTCGATTTTCTATTTTCATTTATTCAATTATGCATTGACTCCTTCAAAAATATATATTTAGTGCCTGTTTTGTATCAGTAAAAGTACTAGGCAGTGGGAGTAGATAATTAAGAATTATATGATACTTTCCAGAAGGAAAGTCAAAGAAGTAAACAGATATAAATTGGGTTGTAAGTTATAAGAATTTATAGTGAAAATGTGGCTTTCTGAAATATAAAAGTACTGAAAATTTATTAAGTGATTGTTGGTAAAGTCTTTGTGTGTGCATGAGTATGGCTTTAGTGTTTTTCTTCATTTATATTTTTTCAAATGTATCAGTTTAAAACTGTATTTCCACAAGAAACATATATTTTTGGATACAAATATAAAACTTGAAATATAAAATTTAAAACCAATAAAAATAATAATTTTTAAAATTGAAATAATATAAAGTCAAGTAGTGGAGAAGAGATTTTCCCCTAAGAATCTAGACAATAATTCTTCCACTGGAGAAAGTGATATGCCTCTCTTCACAGACACAGGCAAATAAATATAGTTAACTTAATAATTGCAGGTTGTACTTAAATACTAATATTAAAAAGTAATTTTTGTTATTAGTATGGAAGTAAACCTAGGCCTCTTTTGTGAATAAACTTTAAGTAATAAGTCAGTGAGACCATGACACTTGCAGACACATTAAAAAACAAAATGAAAATGATGGAAGAAAATTACCAGCTTTTTGCAAACAAAAATAGAAAGTGTTGTCTAGGTATAATACAATGAAAAGCAAAATCAAATAAGCAAGTGAAAGCATGTTTGAAATTTTTTCAAGGTCTTTCAAGTTTGCCTTAGGAGTTGTTGAAGCTTCAGTAATTGGAAAAAATTTGGTGATGACTTTACCTATAGATAACCTCAACCTATTTTTGAATTAAAAAAGAAAGCCAGAGAGCAAGTGTGAGAGAGAAAGAGAGAGAGATTAAGTACCAGGTTCCCATTCCCAAAAGATAGTTTTATAGAAGCAGAAGTAAAATGACATGTTTTTTCTGTTCCTAAAAAGATTATTTAGATACTAGGTAGTAAAAATAAGATTAACTGAGATGTTTAGATTATAGCTGAAAATGTATGATTGAAAAATTTTAAAGTCTCTTTTCACTATATTTCTGAATATGTTGTTATAATATTTTTGAAAATGGGTTAATTGTAAAATATTTTGTAGAAAACTACCAGTAAATATATTTTTGACAGAAAAAGTGAATGAACAGGTGCAGAGGTGAAGCCAAGTCTACTCTATATAAATCTTCAAGTGTGTATCTTTGCAACAAGACCATAGCAAACCCTAAACATGAACACAACCACTGAATTTTCCAGGGTTGCCTTTTCTTAAGAAATCACTCTCTTGCTGTTATTGGAGCGCTCAGTATAGCAGTCAAAAGGATAAATTTCTTCATGTGACCCATTTGTGAGATGTTGGTGTTATCTGGATCTAGGAAGCTGGTTACTATGTTGATTTTCCTCAGATCCACTTTCTATCTTTTTCTTTCTTGCTCTGATCTTTTTCTTCTTGCTCTGCATCTCCAAGCTACCTCATCATCTGGGTTCTTTTTTAGGTTTAGCCAACGGGAGGTGCTGGAGGGCAATAGGATGTGTTTTCATCCCTGCTCTTTCCCTGCTTTGGACTCTGAATTTCTGGCATTGGCAGGAATCCTCGGCATCTGCAGCCCAGGCATCCGACCACCAAGGCTCCAGCCCACACTGGGATTCTTATACAATATTGTTTCCTTCATTTGCTCCACTAGTCTTAGGCTTCCTTGAGGCTTCCTACCATTGTCAGTCTCTGAGTGCCTAAACATCCCTTCTTCTCTCCTCTAAAGATGCCCTTCATGAAAGTCTCTACATCTGAGTAAAATTATATTTCCTGTTGGGTTACTGACAATATTTAACTTTCTCAATTAAATTTGAAGAAAATTGTTCAAGAATCATATCAAAGAGTCAGTGACCACATAATAATAATCAATGTTTATTGAATGTTTACTGTGGACCAGGGACTGCTCTAAGCACATCACATGAATCCAGTCTTTTTTTTTATTTTTAAAATTTTTGTCTAATAGCCATATGTGGGCTGGGCACAGTGGCTCATGCCTGTAATCTTAGCACTTTGGGAGCCTGAGGTGGGTGGATCACTTGAGCCCAGGAGTTCGAGACCAGTCTGGCAACATGGCAAAACTCTGTCTCTACAAAAAAAAAAAATACAAAAAATTAGCCGGATGTGGTGGCACATGCCTGTAATCCCAGCTTCTTGAGGGGCCGAGGTGCGAGGATCATTTGAGCCCAGGAGGCGGAGGTTGCAGTGAGCCAAGATAGCACCACTGCACTTCAGCCTGAGTGACAGAGTGAGGCTCTGTCTCAAAAAAACAAAAAACAAACAAACAAACAAATAGCCATATGTAGTGGCTACTATTATAAAGCCTTAACCTAGGAACAAGGCACAGAGAGTTTTAATAATGTGGTAAGGGCGCTAAACTTAGCAAGTGCTAGAATGGGTCCTTTAGAATCAGGCTCATAATTATGGGACTGGGCTGCTTCCAACACAAGTTAGCTGAACTCTTAGCAAGAAGATTCACTAATCTAAATTTCTGCCATCAAAGGCCTGAAAATATCAGCCGCCCCTCAAGTGCTGAACTATTTCTTTTGCTGCATAAATGCATTCTTTCTCAGTAAATACTCAGATACAGGGATAAAACTGTTGTTTGAATGGTTACATGTCTTTAGCACTGGGACCTTTGGCTATCAGAATGCTTAAGTTATTAATTATATTTACATGTCTGATTGCTCCCTTCTCCATTAGAGACATATTCTTCAGGAGATAGGGATTCTCTCTTTAGTGTTTACTACTGTGTTCTTAGTGCTTTGCAAAACACATGGAACAGTCTCAATAAATATTAATTAAGTGAATAAACAAATGAATGCATAAATTTGTGTATCAATGGCTTCTTACAATATCATCATTATAAAAAAAAAGAAATGAAAATTGCAAAGTTGCTGATCCTTTTAGAAAGTGGTACAATTTTTAGAGTTGAGCCCAATTTCTTAAAATTAATACATACTAATACACAAGGCTTTTTTCCCATGAAGCTACGTTTCAGGTAGAAAACTTTCACCGCTCATCATGGTTAATAATTGTAAGCATTTATATGTTTCTAAACAGACAAATATAGAGTAACAGGCAAAACTTTCTTGAACTTTTTTCAAGAATTTATTAGAAAAAATTTCAAATATACAAAAAGTTCAAAGAATTACACATAATATCCATATACAACAACCTGACTGTTCAGTTAACGCTTTCCTATATTGTCTTAATCACAAAATCATAATCACTCTTTTACTCCAGCTTACTACTCCTCTCCTTCTCCTCTTCCACCACCTTCTCCTCGTTTTGCCTCCTTCTTTTTCTTCTCCATCTCCTCTTCCTTCTTATTCTTTCTTCTTCTCCCTCTTCATTTTTTTGTGGATTCATTTACCAGCAGGTTGCTTGCTGAAATCAGTGCATGCCATCGCTAACTACTTCTGGTTACTTTTAATTAAGTAGAGTTCAATGCATTTGCATTTTAAGGTAAAATTTATGTAAAATAAAATGTACAGACATCAAGTGTTCTATTTGATGATTTTTGATGAATGCATACAACTATGTTACTTAGCCAGCTATTCAGAATATAGTACTTTATCATTACCCTAGAAAATTCTTTCATGACTGTTCTCAGGCAATCCTTACCTCCAGACTGATTGATTTTCTATCCAGCAGAGGTTAGTCATGCCCATTCTATAACTGTCAGGACAACCATTCTCAGTATTTCTCAACCAGGGTGTTACTTTTTCTGAGGGTGATTTTACCTGTATATAACAGTGCTAGGCTCCCACTACCTTCTCCTCATTTTTGTACAGACGTTCCCTGCTGATCCATTCTGGCACAGGTTCAGGAGTGTCTCTAATGGTTTCAGACAGTTATTTCCTAACTAATATGTAAATTGATGTTTATACAATCATCTGTCTTTCCAAGTTATACTGTTTACATTAAGCTTCTGTGATTTTATTTGTTCACCTTGTTGCACTGTGGTTTGTGGAGGATGTCTGAAGACAATTGCATTAAGACAGGTGCTACTACCCAACAGGAATCATCTGGTGTACTTTTCCATTACTTATGTTATTTTCTAAAAATAAACATTTTGGATAATTAATGATTATACTAAGGTAGATGTCTTCAAAGTGGAGTGTTGAAGATAAAAACATTAGAAATTCTGTCTTTTACATTATGAATCTAAAAACATAAAAATATTAAATTTTAATAAGTGAATCAATGATTGTGTATGTATATAAATCATTAAAAACTTACATGTTTATTGACACATTTGTATTATAAAAAATGACAGATGGCTGTATGAGAGTATTATGCAGAGTTCTGTTGAGGATTTCATTTTGAATATCTGTTAAGTTGGCTTTTTGATACATCAATCTTTTGCCCTCTTCATATTCTCTTGGCGGGGAGGTCCATTTATTTGTCACTTTGCTACAACTGAGGCTTGTGGGGAAAATGTTTTAAAAAGAAATTAACCATGTAAACAACCACTGGTAGTACATATTCAAAAATAAACATCAACCATAAGAGAACAGCAGAGTAAATATATAATGTATTCATGTTTCTTTCTCTTGGCTAGTTGACAAATGTTGAGACCATTCTGAATAACACGAAATGACAAAAATATTTTTGTCTATGTTTACTAGATTAACCACTGATAGGTGTCTTTATACTTGTGGTTCAATTGTGTTGACTCTGTGATTATATGGGAAGTGACGTTACTTAAACGAGCTGGCATTCTAGTTCTTGTTTGACTGCTGATTTATACAAAAATCAGATAAAACTATTAGTCAACAACAAGTTATTAGGTACGGACAACCAGGTTGTTTAGTGACAAAGGCAGGAGGATTTGTGAAGAATGGAAAGGAGGGTGAGACCTAGCAATAGAAGGAGTTGAATAAATGTTTTTAAGAGAGTCTTGGAAAATAATTACCTTGGGAAAAGAATTTTCAATAGTAATGCAGAAGCTGCATTGCTCCCAAACTCTCTACTTATTTATGTTGCTTTTGTTAGTGTTTTCTTTTTTTCCCCATGTAGCAATGCTTCAAAAACTGGCAACTAGGCCTGAATGCATTTTCATTAGCTATAATACTAACATATTATTTCAGTAGAGGCTCAAGAGAAGGTACAACATAAAGCTGGCAAATGTGTGTCATACTACTCTTACTGAATGAAAGATATCGTTTCTTCATCAAAGCAGTCTGCAACATTGAACCTTCACAAGTATTCTTATCACAGTGTTCCCAGAGGATAAAAATCAATCAACTGAAATTGCTATTTGGCAAAGATCTTTTGCATTTCCTAAAATAAAAAAAGGTAAAACCTTAATTGAAAATTATGGCTTCATAGACAAAGGTCAGCTTTGACCTAGATCTTTAGCAAAATTGAGGCTAAGACCTCAGGGATAGAATCATGAAGATCACAGTGGAATGAATGTGAAGAATAAACCTCAGACAGGCACGGTGGCTCATGCCTGTAACCCCGGCATTTTGGGAGGCTGAGGCAGGTGGATCACTTGAGGTCAGGAGATTAAGACCATTCTGGCCAACATGGTGAAACCCTGTCTCTACTAAAAGACAAAAAATTAGCCACGCATGGTGGCACGCAACTGTGGTCCCAGCTACTCAGGAGGCTGAGGCAGGAGAATCGCTTGAACCCAGGAGACAGAGGTTGCAGTGAGCCGAGATCTCACTACCGCACTCCAACCTGGGCAACAGAGCAAAACTCAGTCTCAGAAAAAAATAAAAATAAAAATAAAAAAGAATGAACCTCAAACATGGTTCAAAATATTCAAAAATATTTAGGACTTGCTATGATGTGTGCAAAGATCAAGTTAGGAATAATAGAATTCAAAATACTGGAGCTAGAGCCTGAGATATGGCTCTTCATTTCTATGTTTTAAAAGAAGTTATCAATAAAAAAACTTTAAAGATCTCAGATTTTTAGGGACTATTTTGATTTTTCGTATCAGTGGAATCATTCTTTATCACCCAAGAGTTCCTGGAGATTTGCTGACTGGTACAGGAATGTTATGTGTGACCCACAGACTGATGGCTCAGCTGGGGCTACAGAATATTTCCTGTGCTGTGTGGGGGAAAATTTCCCAGAGCCAAAGATTCCCTCTGGTCAGAGCCTTCTTTACTAGACTACCACCGTATACCTCTTCAATTTCCTTCTGTAATCTTCACATTACCAAAATAAAGGCATGAGTTGGAGAGATAAGAGGGACCACTTTTTTTTCTTTTGATACTTAGTGCTACCTGTCTGCTTTGATTAAACTCTTAGTCTGTTTGAACAAAACATGACACACTTCCTAGCCTGTAGATGGCTAGAGCACCAGAGCCATGCTCACAGTTTATACTCATATTAAAGTATATTTGATAGTAGGTAGATGCTTTTTCGTTACTGCTATTTTTAATAAAACTAGTCATTTTCCACCTGGCCAGCTTCACAAGTGATACTTCTCTCTAGAAAAATTCTGGCTGTGACCAGCAGTGAGAAACACAGCATAACTATAATTTTATATAATCTTTCCCACTCTCCACATCCCCACTCCTCACCCCCTTTTCACTTTTTTCTATTGGGAATAAAGCAATTACTTGAACTTTATTCACCCAGCTAATTTGATTAACACAGGTAAAAGGGGAAAATAAAATTTTAATCTGGATAGTAATATAAGTAGTTTTTACACATCCACACTGACAGAGAAAAAAGGGAAAATATAGCCATCAAGGCTTAAATGAATTGCCTTATGTGTGCGCATTTGTGTGTGTGTGAGATGTGTATAAATTTATAAATTTGAGTTACTTTATTTTTTTAAACTTTTTTTAAATTTTACTTTAGGTTCTAGGGTACATGTGCACAACGTGCAGGTTTGTTACATATGTATACATGTGCCATGTTGGTGTGCTGCAACCATTAACTCGTAATTTACATTAGATATATCTCCTAATGCTATCGCTCCCGCTCCCCCAACCCCCTGGCAGGCCCCAGTGTGTGATGTTCCCCACCCTGTGTCCATGTGTTCTTATTGTTCAATTCCCACCTATGAGTGAGAACATGCGGTGTTTGGTTTTCTGTCCTTGCGATAGTTTGCTCAGAATGATGATTTCCAGCTTCATCCCTGTCCATATAAAGGACATACTCATCCTTTTTTATGGCTGCATAGTATTCCATGGTGTATATGTGCCGCATTTTCTTAATCCAGTCTATCACTGATAGAAATTTTGGTTGGTTCCAAGTCTTTGCTATTGTGAATAGTGCCGCAATAAACATACGTGTGCTTGTGTCTTTATAGCAGCATGTTTTATAATCCTTTGGGTATATACCCAGTAATGGGATGGCTGGGTCAAATGGTGTTTCTAGCTCTAGATCCCTGAGGAATTGCCACACTGACTTCCACAATGGTTGAACTAGTTTACAGTCCCACCAACAGTGTAAAAGTGTTCCTATTTCTCCACATCCTCTCCAGCACCTGTTGTTTCCTGACTTTTTAATGATTGCCATTCTTACTGGTGTGAGATGGTATCTCATTGTGGTTTTGATTTGCATTTCTCTGATGGCCAGTGATGATGAGCATTTTTTCATGTGTTTTTTGGCTGCATAAATGTCTTCTTTTGAGAAGTGTCCATTCATATCCTTTGCCCACTTTTCGATGGGGTTGTTTGTTTTTTTCTTGTAAGTTTGTTTGAGTTCATTGTAGATTCTGGATATTAGCCCTTTGTCAGATGAGTAGATTGCAAAAATTTTCTCCCATTCTGTAGGTTGCCTGTTCACTCTGATGGTGGTTTCTTTTGCTGTGCAGAAGCTCTTTAGTTTAATTAGATCCCATTTGTCAATTTTGGCTTTTGTTGCCATTCCTTTTGGTGTTTTAGACATGTAGTCCTTGCCCATGCCTATGTCTTGAATGGTATTGCCTAGGTTTTCTTCTAGGGTTTTTATGGTTTTAGGTCTAACATGTAAGTCTTTAATCCATTTTAAATTGATTTTTGTATAAGGTGTAAGGAAGGGATCCAGTTTCAGCTTTCTACATATGGCTAGCCAGTTTTCCCAGCACCATTTATTAAATAGGGAATCCTTTCCCCATTTCTTGTTTTTGTCAGATTTGTCAAAGATCAGATGGTTATAGATGTGTGGTATTATTTCTGAGGGCTCAGTTCTGTTCCATTGGTCTATATCTCTGTTTTGGTACCAGTACCATGCTGTTTTGGTTAATGTAGACTTGTAGTATAGTTTGAAGTCAGGTACTGTGATGCCTCCAGCGTTGTTCTTTTGGCTTAGGACTGTCTTGGCAATGCAGGCTCTTTTTTGGTTCCATATGAACTTTAAAATAGTTTTTTCCAATTCTGTGAAGAAAGTCATTGGTAGCTTGATGGGGATGGCATTGAATCTATAAATTACCTTGTGCAGTATGGCCATTTTCGTGATATTGATTCTTCCTATCCATAAGCATGGAATGTTCTTCCATTTGTTCATGTCCTCTTTTATTTCACTGAGCAGTGTTTTGTAGCTCTCCTTGAAGAGGTCCTTCATTTCCCTTGTAAGTTGGATTCCTAGGTATTTTATTCTCTTAGTAGCAATTGTGAATGGGAGTTCACTCATGATTTGGCTCTGTTTGTCTGTTATTGGTGTATATGAATGCTTGTGATTTCTGCACATTGATTTTGTATCCTGAGACTTTGCTGAAGTTGCTTATCAGCTTAAGGAGATTTTAGGCTGAGATGATGGGGTTTTCTAAATATACATTCATGTCATCTGCAAACAGGGACAATTTGACTTCTTCTTTTCCTAATTGAATACCGTTTATTTCTTTCTCTTTCCTAATTGCCTTGGCCAGAACTTCCAACAAGATGTTGAATAGGAGTGGTTAGAGAGGGCATCCCTCTCTTGTGCCAGTTTTCAAAGGCAATGCTTCCAGTTTTTGCCCATTAAGTATGACATTGGCTGTGAGTTTGTCATAAATAGCTCTTATTATTTTCAGATATGTCCCATCAATACCTAGTTTATTGAGAGTTTTTAGCATGAAGGGCTGTTGAATTTTGTCAAAGGCCTTTTCTGCATCTATTGAGATAATCGTGTGGTTTTTGTCATTGGTTCTATTTATATGCTGGATTACATTTATTGATTTGCATATGTTGAACCAGCCTTGCATCCCGGGGATGAAGCCCCCTTGACCGTGGTGGATAAGCTTTTTGATGTGCTGCTGGATTCGGTTTGCCAGTATTTTATTGAGGATTTTTGCATTGATGTTCATGAGGGATATTGGTCTAAAATTCTTTTTTTTTGTTGTGTCTCTGCCAGGCTTTGGTTATCAGGATGATGCTGGCCTCATAAAATGAGGTAGGAAGGATTCCCTCTTTTTCTATTGATTGGAATAGTTTCAGAAGAAATGGAACCAGCTCCCCTCTGTACCCCTGGTAGAATTAGGCTGTGAAGCCATCTGGTCCTGGACTTTTTTTGGTTGGTAGGCTATTAATTATTTCCTTAATCTCAGAACCTGTTATTGGTCTATTCAGGGATTCAACTTCTTCCTGGTTTAGTCTTGGGAGGGTGTATGTGTCCAGGAATTTATCCATTTTTCCTAGATTTTCTAGTTTATTTGCATAGAGGTGAAAATAGTATTCTCTGATGGTAGTTTGTATTTCTGTGGGATTGGTGGTGATATCCCCTTTATCATTTTTTATTGCATCTGTTTGATTCTTCTCTCTTTTCTTCTTTATTAGTCTTGCTAGTGGTCTATCAATTTTGTTGATCTTTTCGAAAAACCAGCTCCTGGATTCATTGATTTTTTGAAGGATTTTTTGTGTCTCCGTCTCCTTCAGTTCTGCTCTGATCTTAGTTATTTCTTGCCTTCTGCTAGCTTTTGAATGTGTTTGCTCTTGCTTCTCTAGTTCTTTTAATTGTGATGTTACGGTTTCAGTTTTAGATCTTTCCTGCCTTCTCTTGTGGGCATTCAGTGCTATAAATTTCCTTCTACATACTGCTTTAAATGTGTCCCAGAGATTCTGGTATGTTGTGTCTTGTCCTCATTGGTTTCAAAACATCTTTATTTCTGCCTTCATTTCATTATGTACCCAGTATTCATTCAGGAGCAGGTTGTTCGGTTTCCATGTCGTTGAGCAGTTTTGAGTGGGTTTCTTAATCCTGAGTTCTAGTTTGATTGCACTGTGGTCTGAGAGACAGTTTGTTATAATTTCTGTTCTTTTACATTTGCTAAGGAGTGCTTTACTTTCAACTGTGTGGTCAACTTTGGAATAAGTGTGATGTGGTGCTGAAAAGAATGTATATTCTGTTGATTTGGGGTGGAGAGTTCTGTAGATGTCTATTAGGTCTGCTTGATGCAGAGCTGAGTTCAATTCCTGGATATCCTTGTTAACTTTCTGTCTCGTTGATCTGTCTAATGTTGACAGTGGGGTGTTAAACTCTCCCATTATTATTGTGTGGGAGTCTAAGTCTCTTTGTAGGTCTATAAGGACTTGTTTTATGAATCTGGGTGCTCCTGTATTAGGTGCATATATTTTTAGGATAGTTAGCTCTTCTTGTTGAATTGATCCCTTTACCATTATGTAATGGCCTTCTTTGTCTCTTTTGATCTTTGTTGGTTTAAAGTCTGTTTCATCAGAGACTAGGATTGCAACCCCTGCTTCTTTTTTTTTTTCCATTTGCTTGGTAGATCTTCCTCCATCCCTTTATTTTGAGCCTATGTGTGTCTCTGTCTGTGAGATGGGTTTCCTGAATACAGCACACTGATGGGTCTTGACTCTTTATCCAATTTGCCAGTCTGTGTCTTTTAATTGGAGCATTTAGCCTATTTACATTTAAGGTTAATATTGTTATGTGTGAATTTGATCCTGTGATTATGATGTTAGCTGGTTATTTTGCTCATTAGTTGATGCAATTTCTTCCTAGTATCGATGGTCTTATTTGGCATGTTTTTGCAGTGGCTGGTACCGGTTGTTCCTTTCCATGTTTAGTGCTTCCTTCAGGAGCTCTTGTAAGGCAGGCCTGGTGGTAACAAAATCTCTCAGCATTTGTTTTTCTGTAAAGTATTTTATTTCTCCATCACTTATGAAGCTTAGTTTGGCTGGATATGAAATTCTGGGTTGAAAATTCTTTTCTTTAAGAATGTTGAATATTGACCCCCCACTGTCTTTGGCTTGTAGAGTTTCTACTGAGAGATCCACTGTTAGTCTGATGGGCTTCCCTTTGTGGGTAACCCGACCTTTCTCTCTGGTTGCCCTTGACATTTTTTCCTTCATTTCAACTTTGGTGAATCTGACAATTATGTGTCTTGCAGTTGTTCTTCTCGAGGAGCATCTTCATGGCATTCTCTGTATTTCCTGAATTTGAATGTTGGCCTGCCTTGCTAGCTTGGGGAATTTCTCCTGGATAATATCTTGCAGAGTGTTTTCCAACTTGGCTCCATTCTCCCTGTCACTTTCAAGTACACCAATCAGACGTAGATTTGGTCTTTTCACGTAGTCCCATATTTCTTGGAGGCTTTGTTTGTGGTGCCAAGATGGCCGAATAGGAAGAGCTCCAGTCTGCAGCTCCCAGAGTGAATGACATAGAAGACGGGTGATTTCTGCATTTCCAACTGAGGTACCGGGTTCATCTCACTGGGGCTTGCCAGACAAGTGGGTGCAGCCCACGGAGCAGGGCGGGGCATCACCTCACCTGGGATGCACAAGGGTTTGGGGAATTCCCTTGCCTAGCAAAGGGAAGCCATGACAGAGGGCACCTGGAATATTGGGACACTCCCACCCTAATACTGCACTTTTCCAACTGCCTTAGCAAATAGCACACCAGGAGATTATTTCCCGCGCATGGCTCGGAGGGTCCCAAGCCCACGGAGCCTCGTTCACTGCTAGCACAGCAGTCTGAGATCAAAGTGCAAGGTGGCAGCAAGGTTTGGGGAGGGGCGTCCACCATTGCTGAGGCTTGAGTAGGTAAACAAAGTGGCAGGGAAGCTGGAACTGGGTGGAGCCTGCTGCAGCTCAAGGAGGCCTGCCTGCCTTTGTAGATTCCACCTCTAGGGACAGGGCATAGCTGAACAAAAGGCAGCAGAAACTTCTGCAGACTTAAATGTCCCTGTCTGACTGCTTTGAAGAGAGTAGTGGTTCTCCCAGCATGGAGTTTCAGATGTGAGAACGGACAGACTGCCTCCTCAAGTGGGTCCCTGACCCCTGAGTAGCCTAACTGGGAGGCACCTCCCAGTAGAGGGGCGACTGACACCCGATAAGGCCTGGTGCCCCTGTGAGACAAAGCTTCCCGAGGAAGCATTAGGCTGCAACATTTGCTGTTCTGCAGCCTCTGCTGGTGATACTCAGGCAAACAGGGTCTGGAGTGGACCTCCAGCAAACTCCAATAGACCTGCAGCTGAGGGTCCTGACTGTTAGAAGGAAAACTAACAGAAAGGACATCCACCCCAAAACCCCATCTGTACGTCACCATCATCAAAGACCAAAGGTAGATAAAACCACAAAGATGGGGAGAAACCAGAGCAGAAAAGCTGAAAATTCTTAAAATCAGAGTGCCTCTTCTCCTCCAAAGGATCACAGCTCCTTGCCAGCAATGGATCAAAGCTGGACAGAGAATGACTTTGATGAGTCGAAAGAAGAAGGCTTCAGACTATCGGTAATAACAAACTTCTCTGAGCTAAAGGAGGATGTTCGAGCCCATCGCAAAGAAGCTAAAAACCTTGAAAAAAGAGTAGATGAATGGCTAACTAGAATAAACAGTGTAGAGAAGTCCTTAAATGACCTAATGGAGCTGAAAACCATGGCACGAGAACTACGTGACACATGCACAAGCTTCAGTAGCAGATTTGATCAAATGGAAGAAAGGGTATCAGTGATTAAAGATCAAATGAATGAAATAAAGCGAGAAGAGAAGTTTATAGAAAAAAGAGTAAAAATTTGAGTTGCTTTAAACAGTCTCAATTTATTTCGAGGTGATGAGTTACACATGATTGGTAAAGGATAAAAATTCTTTTACAGGAACAACGTCTATTATTGGAAACAAAGTTTATATTTTACTTGGAATTACTGTCAAATATATATATATGGATATATAATGGATATATGTGGATATATATCTATAATGGATATACATCTATAATGGACATTCCTGGTGGGAGCAGGTGGGTTGGACTTGGATGCTGTGCTGGCTCTTTCCTCAGTTGCCATCAACAGAGTCTTCTCACTTACTCAATAGCAATTCTACAACAGTCTACATTTTTCAGTTTCTAATTAACTCAAATGTAAAAAAGTAAAAAAGTTTCTTTTCCGTCCCTGCCTTTCAACTATTTGATAGAATTCCCATGGGTAAGCAAAATTTTAATGGTGTGGGTGTAGAGTGAAGAGTGTTTAAGGAAAAAGAATTACTTACAAAATGTCATGAGTTGAAATTGGGACTTTTAACAAATTAAGCTCATTTATAGTTAAGGTAGTTTATATCCCACACAATACGTTACATGACATGAAATTCTCTAATTGTAGACATTCATGTTTGCAAAGATGGATTGAGGTAGAGGTGCTATAAAATTGGGGAGTTAGAATTTAATTTATAGATAATTCTGGAAACATGAAAATATTTTTGCTTCTAATTACTTAATTTACATATCATCTCAATTCTCATTCCATTAATTCTCATGAGTTAAATTGACAATTACAGTATGGAAGAAATAAAATATCACTGGGCTGAGAATTGAGAAATGTGTGTCCTGGTGCTGACTGTGCTACTGTCATTATGTGAAGCAACTATTTAAGATGCTTCAAAGGAGCTTCAATCTTAGATTTCTCATCTGGACAAAATGAAAGTTCTACCTGATATCCTTGATATCCTTAAAAGCATTGAAATTTTGATTCATTAGCTACATAAATATATTTAAAACTTCCTCCAAATATTTCTTATGCAACCAAGGCTGGGACCATTGATGTAAATTTCTTTCTGTTTCTTATATTTGATAGTTTTAAATTAAAGCTTTTGAGAAAGTAAATGCTCAGTGAGCATTTGACAGATACAAAGGTGGGCTAATAAATATAATAAAGTATCCCAAAATCTCAGAGGCTTAACACAATAAAGTGTATTTCTTGCTCGCATAACATCCCTACATGGGTGGGGCTGGAAGGATGATATGTTTCATTTAGTTATTCAGGGACTCACACCTTTTTATAACTGTAATGACACCATCCTCAACACATTTCTCTCTAGATACAACAAAAGAGGAAGAAAGAAAAACATTATTATGAAAGGTTTAATTTTTGAATTGGCCAAGTCTAGAAGTGGCACACATTATATTAACCAATATGCTATTGGGCAACAATAGTCATACGGCCCAATCCAGAAACAGGAGGCTAAAAAATGTAGTGTTTCTGTCTATATAGGAAGAAATGAAAAAATTTGGTGAAGATATAGCATTTTGTCTGCCTTGGATATGGACATATAAAGCATATCTTATGTTTTATTCACCTTTACTCTGAACAAAACAAATAAAAACATAAACATTGGGATAGCATTATTGAAATTATATGAAAAACTTCTTCAGATGACATCGTAGATCTAGAGTTAACACACCTTGAGTTGCGGCAGATATTGCCTTTGGAAAATATATTCTAGTTATCCTGGATTGTCTGAATAGGCCCAATTTAATCACATGAACCTTGAAAACTGGAAAGAAAGCAAAAGGGTTGGTCAGAATGATGTGATGAAAGAAGAGGCAGGAGAAGTTTGAAGAGTGAGAGGAACTGTGCCTGCCTGAGTTCCTCTTACTCTTGACTCAAAGTCAAGACTCAAAGTCTTGACTCAGGAGTTATTGACTTTGAAGATGAAGGAAGAGGTCCCTGAGCCAAGACATGTGGGCAGCCTCCACCAGGTGGCCAATAGCTCAGCCAGCAAAAAAAATAAAAAATAAAAAAGACCTCAGTTCTATAGCTGCAAGAAACTGAATGAGCAAAGAACTAGTTTATCCCATAGAACCTTCAGTAAGAAACACAGCCCATCTAACAACTTGATTTTAGTCCTGTAAGATCCATGCCAAACTTCTGACCTACAGAACTGTGAAATAATAAATTTTCATTGTTAAAAGCTGCCTAACTTTGTGGTAATTTATTACATCTGTCATAGAAAACTGAAATCCTCTCTTATCAGCATACTTACTCTTTCTTCTTGCTGACTAACAAGTGTTAACGTTTCTGCATTTAAAAAAAAAGAAAAAGATAAAAGGTCTGAAAATCTTTTCCATAGTAAATTATTTAAAACTTTTATGTTATGCCTGCCACGACAGTATGTGTATTTTAAAAGACAATTGTCTGGAAATCATGAGGCATATCTAAAGAAAAAAACATTCGTGGCCAAAACTAATTTAATGATAAAATACATGGTCCAAAGAACCTTCTTAGTAACTTTTCAACATTATTTCTATAGGAAAGTGTATGGGTTTTTTAATAGATACATAATATTTGTACATACTTATGGAGTACATGTAATATTTTGGAACAAGCATGCAACGTGTAATGATCAAATCAGGAAAATTAGTATACCCATCACCTTATACATTTATTTCTTTGTCTTGAGAACATTTCAAATCTTCTTGCTATTGTGAAATATACAATATAATATTGTCATCCTACTGTGCTATCGAACATCAGAACTAATTTCCTCTGCTAATTTTATGTTTGTTCTTATTAACTAACCTTTCTTCATCCCCTTCATGCAAAGGCACCCTTCCCAGTCTCTCATATCCAACATTCTACTGTCTACCTTCATGATATTAAATGTTTTGCTGTCACATATGAGTGAGAACATGTAATATTTGTCTTTCTGTGCCTGGCTTATTTTACTTAACAGCCTCCAGCTCCATCCATGTTGCTGTAAATTGCAGGATTTTATTCTTTCTTTATGTCTGAATAGTATTCCATTGTGTATACACACCACATTTTCTACTGATGGATACTTAGGTTGATTCCATATCTTGGCTATTGTGAATAGTGCTTCAATAAATATGGGGGTGAAGATATCACTTTGATACACTAATTTCCTTCCTTTGAAAAAATTCTCAGTTGCGAGATTGCTGGCTTGTATGGCAGCTCTATTTTTAGTTTTTTGAGAAACCTCTATACTGTTTCCCAAAATGGCTGTACTAATTTTGCACTCCCACTTACAGTGTATAAAAGTTCCCTCAGAAAAGTCATGTTTTTGCTGAGCATGAGATCTACTGAAGCATGTGTTATAAAAAGGTACATGTAACGGCCAGGCGCGGTGGCTCACGCCTGTAATCCCAGCACTTTGGGAAGAAGAGGTGGGCGGATCACAAAGTCAGGAGTTCGAGACCATCCTGGCTAACACGGTGAAACCCCGTTTCTTCTAAAAATACAAAAAATTAGCCGGGCATGGTGGCGGGCGCCTGTAGTCCCAGCTACTCAGGAGGCTGAGGCAGGAGAATGGCGTGAACCCGGGAGGCAGAGCTTGCAGTGAGCAGAGATTGTGCCACTGCACTCCAGCCTGGGGGACAGAGTGAGACTCCTTTAAAAAAAAAAAAAAAACATACATGTAACTAGAAGGACAAAATCAGGAAAGTGATAGAGAATTTGGAAATTATCACCTATCAAGAATAATTAAAAGGATGGATGATCTGGAGGAAAGATGATTTGATAGAAAATGCTAACTGTCCTCAATTATCATCACAAAAAAGTGACAATGGGAGAAATAAAGTAATCTTTTGTTACTTCAGAAGTCATATTTAAAGTACTTCGTGCAAGTTATATACAAGACGTATGAGAAAATATAATATTTTGAGACACTGGCCAGCATAGTGTGCTCCCATCCACACACATCCATCTGCTGTTCTGTGATGTTACCCTTCTTTCTACTCAGACAGCATTTAGGGTATTTGATGGTATATTCCAGAAAAGGGGTGATAGAGGAAAAACAGCAAAATAGAGTAGTGAGTGGTCAGCTTTAGGGCTTCTGATAGGTTTTAAAAAATAAGAAAAACAATTTTGAGCAAAAGCTTCTGAATTTCAGATGCTTCAATTTTGGAGCATCAAATTCACAATGAGGAGAGGTCGAATATTCAGAACAAAACACATTACTTCTGAGTACAAATAGTTTTGAGGATTGGATAAAATAACACATTATAAAATGATATGGAAAAGAGAGACTACTGGGTATGGGATGAGGAAACAAAGTAGACAGAGATCCTCAGTGGACACAGACATCCTAACCGTCAAGTAAATGAGCACTATTCGCTGCCACTGCTAGTGTGTCCTATAGGAACATATTCAGGACCTACAATTTTTTAGTCGGCATGTGACTGAGCATCTTAGACCACAGATTCTGAGAAATGTTAATATTTTACCTCTATTTTGTCACTCACTCTCTGCCATCTAAACAATAAGCATATTGACCATCTAAGAGGGATTATGTTTATGTGAGAAACTTCATAATTTGCCAATACCATTGATCTTGTATTTCTTATGTTTTATAGCCCATTATAAAGGCACCTCCAACAATTAGGATAATTCAGGAATGAAAAAGGAAAGCTCATGGAGTGCCTCGTTATTAGACATCTCTGAGTTGGAGCTAGATATGATACAAAAGATGCTATGTGGGGTGGTACATAGCTCCTATTTTTGTTTTCAATGTTGGTGAAATGCTAGGCCCTCTCAAGTAACTGAAAGTGTCCCATTTGAAATGAATATAATGATTATATATGTTTGAGAAATTCTTAGTTACTGCAGGATTTCACAAAGCCTTTGATATCCTAATATATTCTGTAAACGTTCAAGAGAGAAAAAAAGTATACAGGACTTCCCAAACTTAATTAGCCATGGAAACTCTTTGATTTACTCTTCATTTTTAGAAAAATCTATTCACATCTTACAGAACATTATTTTTTTTAACAGCTGGGAAATGATGGAGCAAATGGCCACTGAGTTCCACTAAGCTCTAAGATTTTCTGACTCTTTGATCACATTTTTTTTCTTGTGTCTAAGCAAACAAAAGTAAATGGGACAGATCAGAGTAGCATAGTTAATTCAGAAAAAGAAATTAGAATATATAAAATTTGTGTATATAAAAGCTGGAAATTCAAACAAAGAAAATTGAATTTATACAGTTCAGAAATCTATTTGACTATTGTGGAAAAAATAGTTAAATTTATATAACATAGTAGTTGGAGTAAATAATAAATTACTGTTAACAAATAACTCTCCATTGTAACATTTTTTTTAAGCTGTGGGTACAGAATCAGGGACCTAAAGTTTTTCCATTGTCCATTGCCTGAGATGTTGTTCTCATTTGATTGGTTGAAACTTGGATTGCAAATACTGTACATCCTGGTTCCAGCTTATAGGAAGCATACATGAAGAGGAGTGCAGACCTACAGGTATAGAAAATTTGAATATGATACCCATCACTTCCATCTACCTTTCATCCGTGATGACATCGTAACATGAACAGATCTAAATGCATGCTTGGAAATGGATTCTCTCATCGAACAACTGTGTGTCACTTACAACTCCATTACAACACAATGAGAGAATGGATTCAGGCACACAAATAACCATCTCCACTGCACACATAAGGAAATGTATTTTAAATAGCTCAGGAGTTAGAGATAAGCACACACACACACACACACACACACACACACACACACACGAGAGAGAGGTCTTCCAAAACTTCATGGAAATGCATATTATGAAAAAACGATGCATGGATTTCAACGGTTCTGTAAACCCAATATAAATTTGTACTAACCTGCTTTAATATGTCTGAACAGGATCTAGTCTGAGACACTGAGAAGAATAAGACATCAGTTTGAAAAAAGTCTCTGTAACATCAACATGCATTCTGCTAAAATTAAAGCAAGAACAAACATTAAATTTATGGCAGAGTGTGGGTGGAAGAATGGTGAAATTATTGATGCTTTACCAAAAGTTTCTAAGGACAATACTCCAAAGAAATCAGTAGTATACAAATGGATAACTTGTTTTAAGAAAAGATGAGATGATGTTGAAGATGAAGCTCTCAGTGGCAGACCATTGACATCAATCTGTGAGAAAAAAAATTAGTCTTGTTTGTGCCCACATGGAAGACAACTGACAACAGCAAAAGCAATAGCCAACACCATAGACTTCTCAACTGTTTCTCCTTTTTTTTTCCTTTTTTCTTTTTTTTTTTTTTTTTTGAGATGGAGTCTCGTTCTGTCACCCAGTCTGGAAAGCAGTGGTAATGGTGTGATCTTGGCTCACTGCAACCTCAACCTCCCAGGTTCAAGTCATTCTCTGGCCTCAGCCTCCTGAGTAGCTAGGATTACAGGTGACCACCACCATGCCTGGCTAATTTCTGTATTTTTAGTAGAGATGGGGTTTTGCCATGTTGGCCAGGCTGGTTTCAAACTCCTACTTACACACTTTTGACTGAAAAATTAAAGTTCAGCAAACTTTCCACTCAATAGATGCCAAAACTATTGTGCCCATATCAACTGCAGACAAGAACAGAGCTTTCAATGGAAATTTTAACCAAGTGAGATCAAGAACCTGAAGCATTTCTTAAAAGAACTGTAACAAGAAAGAAACATGGCCTTACCATACCATCCTGAAGACAAAGCACAATCAAAGCAATGGCTACCAAGAGGTAGAAGTGGTCCAGCCAAAGCAAAATTGGACCAGCCAAGAGCAAAGGTCATGGCAACAGTTTTTATTTTTATTTGTTTCCCGATACTTAAGGCATTTTGCTTGTTAATTTTTGGAGGGCAAAGAACAACAACATCTGCTTATTATGAGAGTGTTTTGAGAAAATTAGCCAAAGCTTTAGGATAAAAACACCCAGAAATCTTCACCATAGAGTCTTTCTCCACCATAACAATGCTCCTACTCATTCCTTTCATCAAACAGGGGCAACTTTGTGAGAGATTTGATAGGAAATCATTACGTATGCAGCTTACAGTCCTGATTTAGCTCCTTCTTACTTCTTTTTGCTCCTAATCTTAAAAAATCTTTAAAAAGCACCCATTTTTCTTCAGTTAATAATGCAAAACAAGGATGCTTTGACATGACTAAATTCCCAGCACCCTCAGTTCCTTAGGGATGGACTAAATGGCTGGTATCATCACTTCCAAAAGTGTCTTGAACTTCATGGAGCTTATGTTGAAAAACATAGTTTATATTTTTAATTTTTATCTTTTAATTCCATTTTCACAGACTTTTTGAAGTGCCTTATATACAATATAGACAGATTTTAAAAACTAAAAAAAATACGTGATGATCAACCTGATCTTCCAATGGAAAAAAATAAAATCTGTTTGACATAAAACCAATGAAATTACTGCCAAAGAAAAGCATTGTTTTTATAATTCTTTAATGCTCTAATGTATGTTTGGCTATTCATTCTTCTAGCTAAACTTTTTTTTTCACAAAAGGTTTAATTTTAAAAAACTTATTTTCTAAGATAAACTTTTGAATTTACTTATTGTTCCTACTTTTTTCCTTTGTTTCTCATCCACTAACTTTAGGACTTCTGTTTATTATATATAATTAATATTATTATTAATTTTGTACTTTTTTGTTTGTTTCTCAGTTTCCTAAGTTAAGTACTAATGTATTTTCTTCTGAAGGTGTCTATGGTTTTTACTTGTTTTCTGAGTAAAGTATTTCTGGGTCCTTTAGATTTGACATAAATTTATCTTTAAAATTATTTTCAAAGATATTTCATAATTGATTATCTAATTTATGCTTTCAGCCAAGGGTTATCATGGTGAAAGTGTTTTAGTTTATAAAATCCCTACTTCTAAATAGTTGTTGATATACATTTGTTAGTTATGAGATTGATATTTTTATGTGCTTCCAGAAATATAATTTCAAGTTATATAAATTTTCTATATACCTATTAAGCTGAATTTGTCAACACTTTTATTCAGTTTATCTATTTTCTTTCTTTTTTTCTTTTTCTTAAAGTTATATCTGACAATTCCGAGAGAGGTGTTTTGAAATCTACCAATGTCATTTTATTTTTATGAAGATCTCTGTATCTCGCAGCTTTATTCAGAAAACAAAACACGTCAATTACTTCAAGCAGGGAGAGATTGAATAAGGTGAACTGGATACTGATACAACTATTAGAAAGGCTGGAAGAACAAAGGTCAGGGAGCCCCCAATACCCCTCAACTGCACATTGATTCCCAGAGTCAGGAGGTCACAAGAACCTCACACAACCCTTGTTGACCACAACTGCCTCCAAAATCAGAGCAGCTGTTTCCTAGGAAAATGCACAAAGCCTGATAGAAAATAATCTTATGTCTGTGGGGCTGCCTGAGGAAAAACAATATGATTTTAATTTTTCTTTTTTCTTTCAAACCTCATCTGTTTCTTGGAAATAAATTTTCACACTACTGAGTTACCAGAAGGTAACCTGTTACATTCTGCCTGTATTTCTATTAGCTTTAAAACTTACATTTTTAGTTGTGATGTGGTTTTATGCATACAGGTTTAAATGCATTTTACACTCTTCAATTATATTGCTGTGTTTACTGGTATAATTTCTTCTTTTTTCTCTTTGGAGTACTTAGTCATATATTTAATCTGATTTTCACATTGTCATTTTCCTTCCTCCCTCCCTTCCTTCCTTCTTCCTTCCTTCCTTTCCTTCTGTCGTTACTTTCTTCTCTCTTTTTTTTTCTTTTGCATTCACCTAATATCTCTTTGGATACCCACTTAAAAATTATTTTTATTTAAAAATAATTTCAAATTTACAAATGACTTACAAAGGTAGAATATAGTTCATGTATACTTTTCTCCTAGATTCCTATAATGTTAACATCTTACATAAACATAATATATTTATCAAAGCTAAAATTATATTGCCACAATACTATTAACAAAATTAGAGTTTTTATTTGCAGTTTTTTCATGCTTTCAATATACGTCCATTTCCTGTTCCAGGATCCAGTCCAGAATACTATGCTGCATTTAGGCATCATGTACTAAATACTCCACCAATCTGTGATCGTTTCTCAGACTTTTCCTGTCTTCATGACTTTGACACTTTAAGGAATACTGGTGATGTATTTTATAGAATGACCTTCAATTTTGGTTTGTCTGATGTGCTCTCTTGTTCAGGTTGGACTTAATAAATTTTAGAAAGAATACCACAGAGTTGAAGTGCCCTTCTCATCAAATCATATCCAGAGGTTTATGATATCCACATGATTTATCACTGATGACATTATCCTGATCACTTGGTTAAGGTGGTGTGTACCTAGTTTCGCCACTGTAAAGTCATTATTTTTCCCCTTCCACAACCTCCTTGTTAAAAGTGTGTCACTAAGTCCAGTTTACACTCAGGGTGAGGAAGTAAGCTCCCTCTACAGGAAGAAGTGCATCAAGAATTGGTAAACAAGTGATAAAATTGTCATGATAATTAATAGTTTGGGGCAATATTTGTGGGCTAAACAACAATTGTGTTTCCTTTTAAAGTTTTATCCAGTAGTTTTAGCACTCACTGGTGGATCTTGCCTTGGGCAATTATAACTGGTGTTCTAATCCTGACTTTATTTTTCTCATTGTTTCTACATTTATTAATTTGAAATCTTTTGTAAGAAAAATTTGTTCCTGCTCCTCCACTTATTTGTTTGCACAATTGTCTGTTTATTTTGGTATGTACTTATGGGAATTTATTTTATTCTTTGAGTTTTAATCCAGTACTAGCTTTTTGTACTTTGTTGCTAAGATCATTCCAGCTACAGTCATTGCATGTAAGTGTAAGCAGCAGCACTTTCTGCTGCTACAAGATGCACCAGGCTCATCTTATATTTGCCTTGTCCCAAGCCAAGAATAATCTGTTTCTCCAAGGAGTTCTGGGCACGAGATATGCTCATTACTACTGGGGTGTCACTGTTTCTACATCTCAGTAAAAAGAGACAGAAAATATGTGGGGTGGGCGTGGTGACTCATGCCTATAATCCCAGCACTTTAGGAAGCTGAATCGGATAGATTACTTGAGATCAGGAGCTCAAGACCAACCTAGTCAACATGGCAAAACCCCGTCTCTACTGAAAATACAAAAATTAGCTGGGGGTGGTGGCGGACGCCTGTAATCGTAGGCTTGGAAGGCTGAGGTAGGATAATTGCTTAAACCCGGGAGGTGGAGGTTGAACAGTAAGCTGAGACTGTGCCACTGTACCCCAGCCTAGGAGACAGAGCAAGACTCCATCTCAGAAAAAAAAAAAAAGAAAATATGTGACTGCACGCTAACTGATGTATCCATATATATATTTATCTGTGTGTATATATTGATATGAACATGAATTTGTTTTAATATCTCTAATTTTAGTATAATACCACTTCAACATATGAATTTTGAGGGGTACAATTTAATTCATAACATAAGATAAATGGAAAGCATCAATAGCTGTTTTATTTTTACAGTAATCATCACATGTAAATAGGAAAAATATTATTTATTTAAAAGTAACAAAAATATAAATCAATGTGAATATACTTAACACAACTGAACTACACACTTACAAATAACTAAGGTGGTAAATTTTATGTGTGTCTTACCACAATAAAAAACGAAACAAAAAAGTAAGAACAAAGCTAATAAGATAGATCTCTGACCTATACAAAGAAAATAATAAAAACTTATCAAAGTATAAAATTATTTGAGTTAATATAAAGCTGTACAGTATCCTTTGATGATATAACTCAAATTCATTTGAAAATTGTTACTTAAATGGTTATAATTGTAATGGGTTGAATGGTGCTCATGAAAAACATACGTTCAAGTCGTAATTTCTTGTACATGTGAATGTGACCTTATTTGGATTAGGGCTTTGCAAATGTAGTTAAATTAAGAATCTTAAGATGAGAACATCCTGGATTTTCAGTGGTCCTAAATCCAATGATTGATGTTCATATATATATATATATATATATATATATATATATATACATAAAAGAGGGAGATTCTGATACAGAAATAGAAGAGACACTGGGAAAACTTAAATGCAGACAGGGATACAGATTGGAGAGAAGCTTCCACAAGCTCCGCCAAAGATTGCTAGAGCCACCAAAAGCAAGGAGACAGGCATGGACTGGAATTCTCCGAGCCTCCAACAACTTGATTTTGGAATTCTGGCCTCTGGAACTATAAGAGAATCTGTCATAAACCCCCAAGTTTGTGGTAATTTGTTATAGCAGCCCTAGGAAACTAACAGAGGACTTACAATACACACAGAATTAGATGAATTGAATAAAATGATATTAAATCTTATGTAAGAAAGGAGTAAATTTTCATTCAGCAGTGGTTTGTAGTTCTCCTTGAAGAGGTCCTCCACATCCCTTGTAAGTTGGATTCCTAGGTATTTTATTCTCTTTGAAGCAATTGTGAATGGGAGTTCACTCATGATTTGGCTCTCTGTTTGTCTGTTATTGGTGTATAAGAATGCTTGTGATTTTTGCACATTGATTTTGTATCCTGAGACTTTGCTGAAGTTGCTTATCAGCTTAAGGAGATTTTGGGCTGAGACGATGGGGTTTCTAGATACACAATCATGTCATCCGCAAACAGGGACAATTTGACTTCTTCTTTTCCTAATTGAATACTCTTTATTTCTTCCTCTTTCCTGATTGCCCTGGCCAGAACTTCTAACACTATGTTGAATAGGAGTGGTGAGAGATGGCATCCCTCTCTTGTGCCAGTTTTCAAAAGGAATGCTTCCAGTTTTTGCCCATTCAGTATGATATTGGCTGTGGGTTTGTCATAGATAGCTCTTATTATTTTGAGATATGTCCCATCAATACCTAGTTTATTGAGAGTTTTTAGCATGAAGGGTTGTTGAATTTTGTCAAAGGCCTTTTCTGCATCTGTTGAGATAATCATGTGGTTTTTGTCATTGGTTCTGTTTATATGCTGGATTATGCTTATTGATTTGCGTATGCTGAACCAGCCTTGCATGCCAGGGATGAAGCCTACTTGATCGTGTTGGATAAGTTTTTTGATGTGTTGCTACATCAGTTTTTGATTCTGTTTGCCAGTATTTTACTGAGGATTTTTGCATCAATGTTCATCAAGGATATTGGTCTAAAATTATCTTTATTTGTTGTGTCTCTGCCAGGCTTTGGTATCAGGATGATGCTGGCCTCATAAAATGAGTTAGGGAGTATTCTGTCTTTTTCTATTGATTGGAATAGTTTCAGAAGGAATGGTACCAGCTCCTCCTTGTACCTCTGGTAGAATTCGGCTGTGAATCCATCTGGTCCTGGACTTTTTTTGGTTGGTAAGCTATTAATTATTGCCTCAATTTCAGAGCCTGTTATTGGTCTATTCAGAGATTCAACTTCTACCTGGTTTAGTCTTGGGAGGATGTAAATGTCGAGGAATTTATCCATTTCTTCTAGATTTTCTAGTTTATTTGCATAGAGGTGTTTATAGTATTCTCTGATACAAACAAATGGAAGACCATTCCATGCTCATGGGTAGGAAGAATCAATATCGTGAAAATGGCCATCCTGCCCAAGGTAATTTACAGATTCAATGCCATCCCCATCAAGCTACCGATGACTTTCTTCACAGAATTGGAAAAAACTACTTTAAAGTTCATATGGAACCAAAAAAGAGCCCGCATGGCCAAGTCAACCCTAAGTCAAAAGAACAAAGCTGGAGGCATCATACTACCTGACTTCAAAGTATACTACGAGGCTACAGTAACCAAAACAGCATGGTACTGGTACCAAAACAGAGATATAGAACAATGGAACACAACAGAGCCCTCAGAAATAATACCACCTATCTACAACTACCTGATCTTTGACAAACCTGACAAAAACAAGAAACGGGGAAAGGATTCCCTATTTAATAAATGGTGCTGGGAAAACTGGCTGGCCATATGTAGAAAGCTGAAACTCAATCCCTTCCTTACACCTTATACAAAAATTAATTCAAGATAGATTACAGACTTAAATGTTAGACCTAAAACCATAAAAACCCTAGAAGAAAACCTAGGCAATACCATTCAGGACATAGGCATGGGCAAGGACTTCATGTCTAAAACACCAAAAGCAATGGCAACAAAAGCCAAAATTGACAAATGGGATCTGATTAAACTAAAGAGTTTCTGCACAGCAAAAGAAACTACCATCAGAGTGAACAGGCAACCTGCAGAATGGGAGAAAATTTTTGCAATCTACTCATCTGACAAAGGGCTAATATCCAGAATCTACAAAGAACTCAAACACATTTACAAGAAAAGAAACAAACAACCCCATCAACAAGTGGGTGAAGGATATGAACAGACACTTCTCAAAAGAAGACATTTATGCAGCCAAAAGACACATGAAAAAATGCTCATCATCACTGGCCATCAAAGAAATGCAAATCAAAACCACAATGAGATACCATCTCACACCAGTTAGAATGGCGATCATTAAAAAGTCAGGAAACAACAGGTGCTGGAGAGGATGTGGAGAAATAGGAACACTTTTACACTGCTGGTGGGATTGTAAACTAGTTCAACCATTGTGGAAGTCAGTGTGGCGATTCCTCAGGGATCTAGAACTAGAAATACCATTTGACCCAGCCATCCCATTACTGGGTATATACCCAAAGGATTATAAAACATGCTGCTATAAAGACACATGCACACGTATGTTTATTGCGACACTATTCACAATAACAAAGACTTGGAACCAACCCAAATATCCAACAATGATAGACTGGATTAAGAAAATGTGGCACATACACACCATGGAATACTATGCAGCCATAAAAAAGGATGAGCTCATGTCCTTTGTAGGGTCTAGGATGAAGCTGGAAATCATCATTCTCAGCAAACTATCGCAAGGACAAAAAACCAAACACCGCATGTTCTCACTGATAGGTGGGAATTGAACAATGAGAACACATGGACGCAGGAAGGGGAACATCACACACCAGGGCCTGTTGTGGGGTGGGGAGAGGGGGGAGGGATAGCATTAGGAGATATACCTAATGTTAAATGATGAGTTAATGGGTGCAGCTCACCAACATGGTTCATGTATATATATGTAAGAAAACTGCACGTTGTGCACATGTACCCTAAAACTTAAAGTATAATAATAATAAAAAAGAATGGAGTAAATTTTAAAGAACAAATAAGAGTATGAAAAAGTAGTCTAATAAAGCACATGACTCACCAGACATTAGGAAGTATTATAGGGCACCTGTCCTTAAATCAACACAAAATAATTATGATTATGACATAAGTATTTTTAGAGTACATCAATTTGAAACAGATCCAAAATATAAAAATAAAATATTAATGTTCACATTTTTATATAACTTTTATATTGTAAATTATATATTCATTCTATATAAATTTTTATATCTGAAATATAAAAATAAAAAATTAATACATGACCAAGGACCTAATTGGATTCAGAGACAAAATATAAATTAATTTATAAATAATACTGGCACAGCAGACTTTCTTCCAGAGAAAATAAAATTTGGACCCCTTATCAAACCTGTATCAAAAATTAAATCCATATATAATAGAGATTGATCTGTGTTTTAAAAACTCTTAAGGGACATGGGTACTGCATTCAAAATCTATGATTCCTTAGCTGGGCCTGCTGATGCACACCTGTAATCCTAGCCACTCTGGAAGCGGAGGCAAGAGTACTACTTGAGCCCAGAAATTTGAGGCTGCGGTGAGGTATGATCATGCCACTGCACTGCAGCCTAGGCAACAGAGGGAGACCTTGTCTCTGAAAAAATTGAATAAGTAAAAGATTTTTTTAAAATCTATGACCTTAAAAGAAACTAGAGAGAATTTCAGCAACAAAGAAACATTGGCATATTTAAAGATATTAAAATTAAAAACAAAAACTTTTGTAGAGCAGGCAACAGATGAAACAAAATCAACAAATGAATATTAAAGAAGACAAAATTAGTAAATTATATCATGGTTGATAAAAATGTTAAGATTTGAAATACATATGCATAATACAATGTATATATATAGAAGTCTTCATATTAATGAGAGGCAAATATTCTAATGGAGAAATAGGCAATTCATGGAGAAGACATTTAAAACACTGACAAAATTATGAAAAGGTACTCAAACAGAGAAAAGCCAAGACAAGTCATAACAAGATGTCAATGTATAACCATCAAACTGGGGGAAAAAGGGCAATAATTACTACTGCTGATGTCAAGAGGGAATTTTTACAGACTCAGTGGAAATCTTCCCAGATATGCCTCTTTAAAAGCAAAACATATTATAATATATTAAATGTGTATCCTTTCACTCAGAAATACCACTTCAACAAATATATTTCATAGATAAAATCTCATATACAAAAAGGTCTTCATAAAAATGTTGAGGTTGCTCAACCTTTTTAGAACAACAAAACTCTAGAAATTCTGAAGTGAATGTCCATGAACATATCACCATTATAGGAGAAGTGGTTTAATAAATGATGACCTGATTTCTACTACATAATGCCATGCAGTAATTTTAAAATATGGTATTATTCTGACTGTGAACTTAAGTGACTTTTCGTGATATACACCAATATCCTTTTAGAAACTACAATGACACATAATTATTATCTAAGTAAGAAGAAAATATGAAAGTGTTTTTAAGACAAATAATGTGAGATCCATGTTTAGGTGATGCTGGAAAAGAAGAGAAGGAGAATAGGAAGGAGGCAAGCAAACAAGAAAACAGGAAAATAAAACCACAGTGAAGAGAAATGCAGTGTCCCTTTATTTAAAAATTATATATATGAGTACATTTATAGAGAGAATTAAATAATCTGTAAATCTGCAGGGTTGTCCATGAAAGTGTTAAGAGAGGGAGAAAAAAGGCAAATTACAGGTATATGTGCACAGTTTTATTTAAGTTGCACAAGCCAACAATTCACGTGTGTGTGTATGCTTCTGTTTTTTTGTATCAGCAAAATGAAAACCACGGACCGAACAAGAGGCTGTTAATGTGGAAACGAGTTAGTAGAAAATAACTTCTTTTTTCCTTATACATTTTGTATTGCTTGTTATGCACATTTTACAATTACATTAAAATTAGATAAAATCTTCAAAAATAATTTTCATAAAAATTTTAAGGCCAGGCTTGGTGGCTCACGCCTGCAATCCCAGCACTTAGGGAGGCCGAGGTGGGCGGACCATCTGAGGTCAGGAATTTGAGACAAGCCTGGCCAACATGCCGAAAGCCCGTCTCTACTAAAACTACAAAAATTAGCCAGGCATGGTGGCACCCGCCTGTAAACCCAGCTACTTGGGAGGCTGAGACAGGAGAATCGCTTGAGCCCGGGAGGCGGGGGTTGCAGTGAGCCAGGATAGCGCCACTGCACCCCAGCCTGAGTGACGCAGGAAGACTCCATCTCAAAAAAAAAAGACAAAATTTTAAATTACGCAAAATTTCAAAAAAATCACAACGAAAATGTAAATATATAATAATTGCAAATAAGTGAAAATTTTAAAATCCTTAGTATTTAAGCTCAATATAATACTTAAGGATTTACATAAGCTCAGTAAGAAAAACAGAGTCAGCAAAAGATAAACTGGGAATAAATTTCAGACAACTTAGAAAAGAAGAAATGTCTAAATAGATGTTCAAATTTACAATTTGGAGAAATAATTATAACTACAAAGTTACTACTTGTCACCTTTCTAATTAGCAAAGATGTACTTAAAATATTGGTGAGTGTACAGCCTGAAAAACACTACAACCTTCTGTTGACAGGATTGTAAATTAGCACATATTTTGAATAGAACTTTGACAGCCTATTTTAAGTTACATAAAATATTAATATGTTATGATCAAAAGATTGTAACTTTAGAAATATATCTTAAGAAAAATACTGTAATACAAAACTTGAAGATCTATAATCATTGTGTATGATTATAAATTAAAAATTAATACTAAGTTAATAATAAGAAAATAACTTGTAACCAAACAGAATAGTAAGCAACATTAAAAGTGATACTGTATTCTTTTTAATGACAAGAAAAGATGCACTAAGCATCTTTATATGTTTAAAAAATTATACCCATATAATGCAAGGTAACATTTTTGTATAGTATTTCCATTTTAGTATAAAGTATAAATTATAAATAAATGATATTGCTGTAGTAGAAATACTACAATATCATTGGAGTTAGAAATGAGATGTTACTTTTAATAAATGTCTATATTGTCTATTTTTCATAATGAGTGCTGATTTTATAATCTGTTACAAAATAATTTACAAAAGTAAAAGAAAATAATTGCTTGGATATATATTTGCTTTTTAAGGCATTTACTTATACTAATGTCATTTTTGCAATAACTCTAGCAGATTGATGCAATTACTGTTTTCTAAGTTCAGTAATTTAGGATATAAAGGAAAATAAAAATCTCAGGTCCCTAAACTCATTTCCAAAGAGAGAGTTAAGCTAGGACACTGAATCATGCAACATGGCTCACGTTTGTTTCTTTTTTTACTTCAGAACTTTGATCAAAGCATTGTCCATTAGCCAGACCCCCAAAGAAAGGCAAAAGGACTCAGGCATCTCCAGATGATTTGCTGGCCACAAAATTTTTCAAGACGCATATACTCCCATAAAACAAGGACATGCCAATTATAACTTGAGGTCTGCAATCTAAGTGTGGCTCCTAAAACTAACCTCTGTTAATTTTCACACTGATAGTGCTTATCTTCCCAGGTGTGGAACAAAGACAAGATGAGATCAATCATTCTTTCCCTTACTGCTCCTTCTTCCTGTCTTACCCATTTTAAGGAACTGTATAAATAATAAACCTCCTGAGAAACTCTTCAGATGACTCCAGCCACAGATATGTCTGTGACTTGTGTTTTTCCGGGTGTGCCCTCAAGCTCTAGCTTAATAAACCTCTATTGACTGAGACTCTTGACTTGGTCACTCCTTTAATTTAACTAGTATATATTTGATGCAACTGCACCCAGATCTCCCAGGTCAAATCCTATGCTCTTTCTTCTCTCTCACATCCCCTTGTGTATTGATTAAGAATTGACCCTTTGTGTGTTTCTTGTATGGCAATTGCTATCTTTATTCTGATATGCTTATCTTCTTGTGGTTACAGATTAAATCACTCCTCCTGAGAGCTAGGAACAGAATTGTCCTTGAAAAATGGAGATACAATATCAGTCATTATTGAATCTGGTAAGTTATTCTTTTTCCTTTTTTTTAAAAAAAAAGTAAGTTCTTGCTGTTTTAATGAAACAAATTGAGAAATTATTTTCTAGTAGAAATACATGGGCATTAAGTGTCATTAAAATTAAAATTCAGAAGTGTTCAATCTCAAAGCAACATTGTATATCTTTACAAATTAATTAATGGATCTTAAATCAAAGGCCACCACTTACAGATAAAAACAGTATGCCCTCAAATGGTTGAATTATATGATATGTGAATTATGTTTCAATAAATCTATTTCAAAACAAAACAAAATATGTAACTTTTAAACTGAGACAAAGACATTTGATCTATCTATGGAAAAGAATGAAGTAAATAGAAAAATAATATATATATTTTATGAGCTTGTTCTTATTTATTTCTGCCATCATACATATCTATCTATCTATATATATGGTGTATATATCTACACGATGGCAGAAATAAATAAGAATATGGCAGTTAGTAAATAATATAAGTCAAATAAACTAAAAGTAATAGTTTTCAGATTAAAATTTAAAATACAATAATATTTTCTCTATAAAAGATGTACTTTAAAAAAAAAAGACAGACAAATGTTCAAAACTAAAACCAATGAACCAGGCCAATATGGGGAGAGCAATGTTTTAGAAATCCTACATTCTGTCAAAATAAAATTGGGAAATGTTGAGAAATACTGTTAAAAAACAAATATACCACAGTAAACATAACCCAGAATACAGCCTCAATATATACTGAACAATTGACAGCACTACAGAAAAACATATAGATCAACATTTTTACCTGAAAATCTTAATACATCTTTCTCAGAAGGTGGTAGAACAAGAAGAATAAAAGTAAGACGAATAAAGAAGTCTAGCTTCAGCTCCAACATGTATAGAGTGTGAAGTTGTCACTCTAATTCTAAAAACAAGAAAAAGTCAAACAAACTAAAGACCAGTGACTTTTCTGAAACCTTTCATGGATTAGAGCTTAGAGAAAAAACTTCACCGCAAATCCAGAGTCACAGCTGAGATCAGTTTACCTGGAGCAGAAGCCATAAACTTATAGATACACTCAACTGGTAGTTTTGATGAATGGCGATAGGCTGTGTGTAGATTACCATGAGAGTGAGAAAACCTCTGGGGGCAGCAGTTGGTGAATGGGGTGTCCCCCAGTCTTGGGTGGTGATCTCAGTTTACTTCGAGAAACCCCATCAGATTCTCACATAATAATGCCAAGAAAGATCCTGTCTGGCAGTGAGAGGGATGAGATGTCCACAACCAAGACATACATGTGCATGGAAAAATAGTGTAGCAGGGCCTTATCTAACCTAGGGAAGACATATTCCTAATATTCAGGCTCTCCATAGCCTTTTTGTTTCACCAAAGGGGAGGGAAGCTATATTTCTTCACTGAAGAAATACTGGTGAAGGTCACAACCTCAAGACACACTAAAAGACTGAGATTTTATCATAAAATTTTATTATAAGATTGTAGACTTGGTGGCCTCCCCCACATTTTAACCCCACACTATAAGTGCTCCAGTATAACAATGGTGAACTGCAGCTGAACTAGCTGCAAGATGCAGACTCTCTCAGAAGGAGAGTACTGAGAGAAGCCCAAAGTCAAGAGACACATGGACCAGTAGAACAGGCTAGAGAATCCAGAAATAAAGCCACACACCTCAATCACCTGATCTTCCACAAAGCTGACAATAACAAGCAACGGGGAAAGGACTCTCTCGTTAATAAACAGTGCCAGGATAACTGGCTAGCCATATGCAGGAGATTGAAACTGGAGCCCTATCTTTAACCATATACAAAAATCAACTCAAGATGGATGAAAACATAGAACATAGGGATGAAAACATAGAAAATACCATTCTGGACATTGGCCCTGGCAAAGACTTCATGATGAAAACTCCAAAAGTAATTGCTACAAAAACAAAAATTGACAACTGGAATCTAATAGAACTAAAGAGCTTCTTCACAGCAAAAGAAACCACCAATAGAGTAAAGAAACAACCTACAAAGTGGGAGAAAATATTTGCAAACTAGGCATCCAACAAAGGTCTACTGTCCAGAATCTATAAAGAACTTAAATCAACAAGCAAAATCAACTTCATTAAAAAATGGGCAAAGGCATGAGCAGAGACAATTCTCAAAAGAAGACATACATGCAGCCAGCAAGAATATTAAAAAATGCTCAATCAAAACCAAAATGAGATACCATCCCACACCGGTCAGAATGGCTATTACTAAAAAGTCAAAAAATAACAGATGCTGGAGAGGTTGTAGAGAAAAGAGAATACTTATACACTCCTGGTGGGAATGTAAATTAGTTCAGCCACTCTGGAAAGCAGTCTTGAGATTTTTCAAAGAACTGAGAACTACCACTTGACCCAGCAACCTCATTATTTGGTATTCACCCAAAAGAATATAAATTGTTCTACCATAAAGACACATGCATGGGTATGTTCATTGCAACACTATTCATAGTAGCAAAGACATGGTGTCCACCTAGATACCAATCAATGATAGACTGGATAAAGAAAATATGAGACAGGTATACCATAGAATACTACATAAGATAAAAAAGAATGAAATCATGTCTTTTGCAGCAAAATGAATGCAGATGGAAGACAATATCCTAAGCAAATAAATGCAGAAACAGAAAACCAAATACCCCACTTTCTTACTTATAAGTGGGAACTAAATATTGAGTACACATAGACACAAAGAAGGGAACAACAGACACCAAGGCCCACTTGAAGGTGGAGGGTGGGAGGAGGTGAGAATTGAAAAGAACTACCTATAGGGTATTAGACAGATTATCTGATAACTAGGTAATTAGTTTTTAGCAGTGACAAAATTATCTGTACACCAAACCGCTGTGGCACACAATTTACCCATGTAACAACAAACCTGCACATGTGTCCCTTGGACCTAAAATAAAAATCGGGAAGGAAAAAAAGAAAGTAGAGATAAAAACAAAAACACTAGATAAATTGAACCCTCTGGCCCCTACAGCTATAACAAATGTTAAGTACTGTACAAATCATAGTCAGATTAACATAAATCCACACACTCAAGACCCATTTACCTCAATTCTATTACCTGCTACAATAAGACCCCATTTTCAAAGTAAAATTACAGGACATGGCAAAAGGCAAGCAAAAAAAAAGAGGTCTGAAAAGACACAGCAAACATCAGAACTAGATTATTATCAGAATTGTTATTCGGGAAATAAAATGAATACTAATAAATTTGTTAAGACCTCTGCATTAGTTTGGTCAGGTTTTTCCAGAGAAACAGAACCAATAAAATGTGTGTGTGTGTGTGTGTGTGTGTGTGTTTTCAAATAGCTTTGTAATTCAGCCAGCTGCAGAAAGTGATCTTGATTTTGCATTTAATTTCTAATAAAATCAGTTCTGTGGCTATAGGAGATAAGGTTCTCCTTCAGGGCACACATAGAAACTTTAAGTTTATTTGTACAGCACTTAAATTGAGAATTTGAATCCCAGAGCTCATAATTTTCTTTCAATACTTTTTGTTCACCTACAGTAAGAGCAACCAGCCAATCTTATTAAATTAGTTTTCCAAAATTGTTTGAAAGTATCACATACATGGTCACTCAGCTCTTTCCTTCTTATAAATGGTTGATTCGGTGTATCTAATGCAAATATTTGGCATATCTCTATTGCCAGACCATGCCATTAAATGTCAATTTTTTTTTTCTAGTAAGAAAATAGAGTCCTTAGTGTCTTTAAATTTAATCAGTTTAAAGAGCCAACTCCTGAAACTCCACGATATGGTTTAAATCTGTGTCCCCACCAAATCTCAGGTCAAATTTTAATCTCCAATGTTGGAGGTGGGCCTGGTGGGAGATGATTGGATCATGGGGGTAGATCCTTCATGCATAGTTTAGTACCATCCCTTTGTTGCTGTTCTTGTGTTACTGAGTGAGTTCTTGCGAGATCTGGTTGTTTAAAAGTGTGTAGCCCCTCCTGCTTCACCCTATTGCTCACCCTGCTGCCATGTAAGATGTCTGCTCCCCATTTGCCTTCTGCCATAATCAGAAGTTTCCTGAGGCCTCCATAGAAACAGAACAGATGTCAGCATCAGTCTTCATGTATAGCCTGTGGAGCCATGAGCCAATTAAACCTCTTTTCTTTATAAATTGCCCAGTCTTAAGTATTTTTTTTTATAACAGTTGGAGAATAGCTTAATACAGAAAATTGTTACTGAGGAGTGGGGCATTGCTATGAAGATACCTGAAAATTTGGAAGTGACTTTGGAACTGAGTAACAGACAGAGGTTGGGAGAATTTGGGGGGCTTGGAAGAAGATAGAAAGATGAGGGCCAGTTTGGAATTTCTTAGAGACTGACTAAATGGTTGTGACCAAAATGCTAGTAGTGGTATGGACAGTGAATTCCTGGCAGAGGAAGTCTCAGATGGAAATGAGGAAGGTATTGGGAACTGGAACAAATGTCACTTTTCTTATACCTTAGCAAAGAACTTGGCTGCATTGTGCCACTACCCTAGAATCTGTGGAACTTTGAACTTGAGAGAGATGATTTAGGGTAGCAGGTGGAAGAAATTTCTAAGCAGCAAAGCAGTCAAGATGTGCCTTCACTGCTTCTAACAACCTATCTCATATGTGTGAGCAAAGAAATGACCCAAAGTTGGAACTTATATTTAAAGGGGAAGCAGACCATAAAAGTTTGGAAAATTTGCAGCTGGGCCATGTGGTAGAAAAGAAAAGCCAATTTTCAGGGGAGGAATGCAAATAGGCTGCAGAAATTTGTATAACTAAAAGAAAGGCAAGTACTGATAGCAAAAACAATCAGGAAAAAAAACCTCAAAGGCATTTCAGGGGCATCCCCTCCCATCACAGGCCCAGAGGCCTAGGAGGATTGAATGGTTTTGTTCCTAGGCTCAAGACCCTGCTGCCCTGCACAGCCTTGAGACTCTGCTCCCAGAATCCCAGCTGCTCCAGTTCCAGCTGCAGCTCAAAGGGGTCCAGGTACAGCTTGTGCCACTGTTTCAGAGGGTGCAAGCGATAAGTCTTTGGCAGCTTCCATGTGGTTTTAAGCCTGTGGTTGTGCAGAGTGTAAGAGTTGAGGCTTTTGAGCCTCCACCTAGATTTCAGAGGATTTATGGAAAAGCCTAGGTGACCAGGCAGAAGCCTACTACAGGGATGGAGCCCTCATGGAGAATATGAGAGCTGTGAGGAGGGGAAATGTCGGGTTGGAGCCCCCACAAAGAGTCCCCACTGGGGCACTACCTAGTGCAGCTGTGAGAAGAGGGCCACCATCCTCCAGACCCTAGAATGATAGATCTACAGGCAGCTTGCAACCTGAGAATGAAAAAGCCGCAGGCACTCAGCATATCATGAGAGCAGCCACTGGGGATGAAACCCTGCAAAACCATGAGGGTGGCGCATCTGAGGACCCTGGGAGCTCACCCCTTGCATCAGTGTGCCCTGGATGTGGGACTTGGAGTCAAAGGAGATTATTTTAGAGCTTTAAAATTTAATGACTGTCCTACTAGGTTTTGGGTTTGCATGGGGCCTGTAGCCCATTTCTTTTGATGATTTCTCACTTTGGGAAGAGGTGTATTTACCCAGTGCCTGTACCCTCATTGTTTCTTGAAATTAACTAAGTTGTTTTTACAGGTTCATAGGCAGGAGGAACTTGTCTCAGATGAGACTTTGGACTTTGACATTTTTAGTTAATGCTAAAATCAGTTAAGACTTTGGAGATTATTGGGAAGGCATGATTGTATTTTGCAATGTGAGAAGGACATGAGATTTGGAAAGGAACAGGGGCAGAATGAATGGTTTTGATCTGTGTCCCCACAAAATCTCATGACAAATTATAATCCCCAATGTTGGAGGTGGGGCCTGGTGGGAGACAATTGGATCATGGGGGTGGATCCTTCATGAATAGTTTAACACCTTCCCTTTGCTGCTGTTCTCTTGATAGTGAGTGAGTTCTTATGAGATCTAGTTATTTAAAAGTGTGTAGCACCTTACTTGCTCCTGCTCCTGCCACGTAAGACATCTGCTCCCACTTTGATTTCTGCAATAATTGGAAGTTTCCTGAGGCCTCCCCAGAAGCTGAGTAGCTGCCAGTCTCTTGCTTCCTGTATAGTCTGTGGAGCTATAAGCCAATTAAACATCACTTCTTTATAAATTACTCAGTCTCAGGTTTTGTTTGTTTGTTTGTTTGTTTTGTTTTTGAGACAGAGTCTCTTTTCGCCACCCAAGCTGCAGTACAGTGGTGTGATCTTGATGCACTGTAAGCTCTGCCTCCTGGGTTCAAGCAATTCTCCTGCCTTAGCCTCCTGAGTAGCTGGTTTCACCATGTTGGCCAGGCTGGGTCTTGAACTCCTGACCTCAAGTGTTCCACCTACCTCAGCCTCCCAAAGAGATATTTCTTTATACCAATGAAAGAATAGCCTAATACACTGACATAATCAATTCAATTTATTATTAAAATTAAGTCTCTGTAGAACAACTCTTGGTACTAAAATCCATATTATTCGGGGTTTGCCAGAGAAACAAAACCAAGAGAATATCTATCTGTCTATCTATTTAAATTTGGAAAAGAAGAGAAAGAAATGTATTAGACTTCTCTTAGGTGTTGACTCACATAATTAAGGAGGCTGATATTATGGAGAGCCTCCATAGTATAGAGAACTCCTATGATCCACTTTCTGCAAGTTGGAGACCTAAGAAAGCTGATGGTGTAGTTCAAAGGCTTGAGAGCTGGAAAACCAATGGTGTAGATTCCATGCTGAGTCTGAAGGCCAGAGAACAAAGAGCATTGAGATCAGGGGAAGATCAATGTCCTAAGTGGATTGGATGATACCCATCCACATTGGGGAGAGTAATTTGCTTTAGTCAATTCACCAATTCAAATGATGATCTCTTCCAGAGTCACCCTCACAAACATGCCAAGAAAAAATATTTAGCCCAATATTGGGGCACCTCTTGGCCCAGTCAAGTTGACACATAAAACTAGCCATCATAGAAATTGTACAAAATGTATTCTCAGATTATGGTAAAATTCAACTAGAATTTAATAACTGAATAATAGATGAAATGTCCCCAAATGCTTTGAAATTAAACAGCCTGCTTCTAAATAACACCTAGGTCAAGAGTTCTCAACAAAAGTTTTCAAAATTTGTAACTAAATAAAAAATTAAAATGCAATTTATAAAAATATGTGGGATATAGTAAAAGCAGAGCTGATAAGCAGAGTTTATAAGATTAAATGCATATGGAACAGATTTAAAAATATCTAAAATATATTAGGAATGTAAAACAAATCTAAGTCTAAAGAAAGTAGAATGAAATAAATACTAAAATTAGAGCAGAAATTAATGAAATTGAAAACAGAAAAAGAATAGAAAAAATCAACATAAACAAAAGCTGGATCTGTGTCTCAAGGCTGTGACTTTGTGCTTCTCTGAAAAGATAAATATGACTGGAAAAGTCAAATTAACAAGAATAAAAGAGTGGAGATACAAATTACCAATACTGTGGTCGGGTGTGGTGACTCACCTCTGTAATCCCAGTACTTTGGGAAGCTGAGGCAGGTGGATCACCTAAGGTCAGGAGTTCGAGACCAGCCTGGCCAACATGATGAAACCCCGTCCCTACTAAAAATATAAAAATTAGTTAGGCATTGTGGTGCTTACCTGTAATCCTAGCTTCTAGTGGGAGCTAAGCCAGGAGAATTGCTTGAATCTGGGAGGCAGAGGTTGCAGTGAGCCGAGATAATGCCACTGCCCTCCAGCCTGGGCAACAGAGTGAGACTCTGTCTCAAAACAAAACAAAAACAAAAGCAAAAACCAATTACCAATATTGTAAATGAAAGAAGAGTAAACACTGCTGATCTCATGGATGTTAAAAAGATGATAAAAAATACAGTAAACAGCTCTATGTTCCCCAACTCAATAATTGAGGTAAAATGAAAAAATTTCTTGAAAAATACAAATAGGCAAAACTCACAGGGAGAAATAGAATATGAGTAGACCAATAGCTATCAAAGAAATTGAATCAATAATTAATACCCTTCCAAAAAAACAAATGACCAGGCCAAAATAGTTTACTGGTGAATTCTCCCAAACATTCAAGGAAGCAAGGATATCAATTCTCGACCATCCCTTTTAGAAAATAGGAGCAGAAGAAAAACTTTCTAACTCACCTCCCAAGGCCAGCATTGCCCAATGCCAAACCTGATAAAGCTATTAGAAGGACAGAAAAGTACAGAATATTATCATTCATTAACATACATGCAATTACACTTTTTAATGTTGTGAATTACGATGATATGTCTTCTGACTTATTCTTATATTCTTGAATAACTGAGTAAAATCTCTTACATAGTAATTTTCTTAAATATACTTTGCATTCAGTAAGTAAATATGCCATGTAACATTTTTGTATCTATGTTGGTAGTGAAATAAACTCTAAATAGTTTTTAGTTTCCTATATATTTTTTTGTAATCCTGATTACACTAATTTCACATAATGAGTTAAGTGGTTTATATTTTAATGAAGAAAAATATATAATACAGTTGTACACCTAAAAGTTTTGGTAATCACTTTTAGTAAAAAAGAAATGTAAAAGAATGTCCTAATCTCCATTAAGACTATGTTCCAAAATTTATAGCAATCATTATACTTCACATATAAAATCTTGATGCATTTTATTTCAATTGGGAATAAATGCATGTGACCCAGAACTGCACAACTGTTTTATCATTCTTATGCTAGTGACAGACCTCAACTCAAATAGGATGCTTGATTCTGAAACATGGAGTGACATAAATTATAAACAAAAGGAAGCAATAAGTATAAATATTGAAAGGGAAGAGATAATACATAAACAATATTAGAACAATGAGATAATATTAGTTTATTAGCAATATAGGCTGGGTGCAGTGGCTCAAGCCTGTAATCCCAGCACTTTGGGAAGCCAAGGCGGGTGGATCACGAGGTCAAGAGATCGGGACCATCCTGGCCAACATGGTGAAACCTCGTCTCTACTAAAAATACAAAAATTAGCTGGGCATGGTGGTGCGTGCCTGTAATCCCAGCTACTTGGGAGGCTGAGGCAGGAAAATTGCTTGAACCCGGGAGGCAGAGGTTGCAGTGAGCCAAGATCACACCACTACACTCCAGCCTGGTGACAGAGGCAGATTCCATCTCAAAAAAAAAAAAAAAAAAAAGAATTAGCAATATAAAATCATAAAATCAACTTACAAAAAAGACATAATTTTACTTTAATAATAGCCAACTATAAATTATAATCTAAATAAGATATCATTTACAACTGCAGCAAAGTTCAATAAAAATCTAGGAATTAGCTAACATTAAAAGATTCTTACATACATAATTTTATGCATTAATAAAAGGCATAGAAGATGATCTGGATAAGGCACATGCACATGTTCTTATATGGAAAACAATTTTAATCATATAGATTTTTCTCAAATTAATATAAAAATATGAATATAATACAAATAAAAATTCCAGTGCAACATTTTTGGAAGAATATGATAAACTTACTTTAGAGTCAATATGAAAGAGCAGAGATTTGTAATTAACAACATCATTTCTGAAAAAAATGATAAAGAATAATTTGTCATAAACATCCTAGGATTTACTAAAATGCCTTAATAATAAAAACATTGTTGTACTGGAAAATAAAGAGACAAGTAGAACAAGGTAAGAGGATAGAAACCCCAGAACCAAATATATTTATTACATATATGTATTAAAACAAATGAGTTCTATTAATCAGTAAGGAGGGTTGGGTGACATAATAGATATTTTGCAAACACTGGTTCCCTACTTTACAACGCATATGTATTAGGCATGATAAGTAAATAAAAAGTAAAATATAAACATGTAATAGAAAAAAATTGAAAAATTAAAACTTTATAAAAAAAGTTAGAACAATATATTTTTTGGATGGTATCACTTCAAGATTCTTAAGTGGGATCTCAGAAACACAAACTATAAGGAAAGAGAGAGAGAAAGAGACAAATAAGTGAACACAAAGAGCGACAGAGAAAGTGAGGTGTGGGTAGGGACAGCAGGAAAGAGATTTGTTTACATCAAAATAATAATTCTGTTCACTAAAGAAAACCTTGAATAAAGTTAATGCATAGATAACAGTGTATGTTGTGCATAAAACTGACAGAAGAGATAAAGAATTTCTGCAAATCAACATGAAAAAATACGCCTCAGTGGAATAATTGGGCAAACCATAAAATATATAAAAAGGTAATTTATATAAGAAGAAACTCAAATAGCTTATATGTTAGTAAAATATTCAGTGTTATTAGAAGTAAGAAAAATGTGATAACGTTAGAACAACAATAAAACATCACTTTATATTAGAAAACTACATACTCCCTAGCGTTGGCAATGTTGTGGACCTCCCCTACACTGCCAGGGGAAATGCAGACTGATGCATGGATTAGACAAAAAGAGGAAGCACTCTTGAAGAACTCAATATACACAGAATCAGAAGTCCAGCAATTCTGTTGCTGACTGTAAACCTTACAGAAATTCCTACATATATATTCACATACATGCAGAGACAGAGACAAGTTTGAAGATATTTATTGGTGTTAGTGGTTGCAAGCATTTGGAGGGTTAAATCTATACATTCATCATAAGGTAAGTGGATGTGTAAAATGCAGCAATGCAAACTAGAGTGGAATTCATGTACAGACAGCAACAAGGGTAGAATTTAAATAAAAATTAAGGGTCGAGTGAAAACAAGTAAGAAACATAATATTCTTATGTAAATAAAATTTATGCAAACAGAATAATTTACAATTTGCAAGAATGCATACTATCTCAATTTGATAACTTTACAAAATGGAGCCTGAAGCTAATTATAAGTGTTTATTCTTTACTGTAAGATATAGTCTCAAAAAAAATTGAAGTGAGGCAGAGAAGCAAGGGATGCTAAAACAGAGTGAGGCATTCCTGTTCTGGCTACCTCTTCATGATGAGTTACAAAAAGGCACAATTTGTCTCTCTTGTGTCTTGTGTATGTGCTTGGCAAGGCATTTCTGGACAGACACCATGGAAAAAAACTGTGCTTTGGAAGAGTCAATAGGACATTGGAATGGAGACAGAATTGTCTAGGTCACTCACAACTCCTGTCTCGATTGGTCAAAATTTTTCTCATGGGGAATTAACTGTACCTCACTTTA